>NC_000015.10:88410975-88562490 GCF_000001405.40 Homo sapiens
ACTGGTTTATCTCTTGTCTATAGGTCCCATTTTCCTGTGTCGTCTCATGTCATACTATATCTTGTACAGTGTGGATGACAGGTTGTAGAGACTCTGGATGCTGTTGTCTTCCTTAGAAGAGTATTGATTTTTATTCTAGCAAGAAGCTAAATTATAGGCAGATAACCACAATCTTGTGGAGTCTTGATTTTAAGTTTTGTTGGGGTAGGTCTTTTTGTTTTTCCCCTCATCCTAAGGAGTAGTCCTTAGTCCTTGCATATGATCCTTACTCCTAGGGTTTGGCCCTTCTGGCATTTTAACAGAAAGCTTTGCCGAGCCTCCCTAACTTGCCAAAACTTGAACTCTAAATTTTGTGTCCACAACCCTGGGGAGTTGCTATAACATCTGATTAGTAAGATCCCTGGGACTTTCTTCTGGGGTTCCTTGGAGTCTTGCCCCATGTCTTCACAGTGTAGGAGTCAGCTAAGGATTTGAGGGAAGGTCCATGTGGATTCTTGAGTGCCAGGTGAACCCCATTCTGTCTCAGATGACTCCCTCTTTTCCTGGACACCCACCCTCTCAATTTACAGCCATTCTAGTCACTCTGTCTACTCAGTCTATTAGGAATTCTGGATTCTCTTTTTTTTTTTTTTTTTGAGATGGAGTCTGACTCTGTCACCCAGACTGGAGTGCAGTGGCACGATCTTGGCTCACTGCAACCTCCGCCTCCTGGGTTCAAGTGATTCTCCTGCCTCAGCTGCCCAAGTAGCTAGGACTACAGGCATGTGCCACCACGCCCAGCTAATTTTCCTATTTTTTTTAGCAGAGATGGAATTTCACTATATGTTGGCCAGGCTGGTCTCGAACTCCTGACCTCAGGTGATCAGCCCGCCTTGGCCTCCTAAAGTGCTGGGATTACAGGCGTGAGCCACCGCACCTGACCAGGAATTCTGTATTCTGATTTAGCTCTACTCCCATACATTGCTTCGACGGGGAATGCCTTCAAGAAAACGTCAGACAAATGTGGGTTTTGCCTAGGGTATTTGCCTTATTTCATGGGTGGTAGCCCCTGGTTTTTCTCACTCTACTGTGCCTTCAAATAATTATTTTCAGTATTTTGCCAAGAATTTAATATTGTCGTCAGTGGGAAAGTTTATCTGGCATAAAGTCGTCTGCCATTACCTGAAGACAGAATTCTCTTGAAATATTTTTATTATATAAATCGAGCATCATCCTACTCAGTGGTCCATATATCTCACCACTCGAAACCCAGCTCTCCAGATTTCTGTCATTTATTTGCTGTACAAAGTGAAGTTAAATCCTTCCAGGTGAATCTATTTTGGTTCAAATTAGCCAGAGCAAGTCCTGTTGTTTACAGTCAAGGGCTATGACTAATATGTAGGGCTTATGTTGACCTAGATGCTGCTTAAGTCCTGACTACATGAATAGCTTCCAAGACCTCTCCACAACCACTGGCCATCCATGGCTCTCTGGGAAAATATCCCAGGTCACTGCCACCTTTAATATATATTTTTTAAATTAGCATCTTGGCTTTAAATATTTTACTTTCATGATGATTATATTTCTGAGCATGGCTAACTATATTCCTTCTTGATACCATTAGTCATTTTACCCCTGGTTTAGATACAGCTTCACTAGCCCCTTTACTCTGCACCCTTATTGGACAGAATTCCTCTCCTTTGCATCAGTTCTGAGGGTCTATAACATCATCACCAAACCATCTGCCTCACTCTCCACCCCCATACACACCATGCACATGCCCATGCCCACACACAGACACACACGTCTTCCATAGCCAATAAAGGCAGAAGTTCCAAACTTTCACACCCTTTCCTCCCAATGACAGGCAGAGAAGAATTCCAGACAATTGATAGAGGAGAAAAAGAGATGTATATTTGGAAAATGGTATATGACACCAGAGGCAGAAGTCAGGAAAGAGGGACTCTTATGAAAGCAAGGAAACTGATCTGGGGAATTTCAACAAGTCCTCATGAGTTCATGTGGTTGTGCATAGTCCGAGCATTTTCAAAATTCCAAACAAAATGCCACACTTATTAATGAGTATGTTATTGACCCTTTAGTTTACTCAGTGAGGACCAAATTCATAAAACATTCATGCTCCATTATGCAGGATTTCCTCTGCCTCTTTGAGGTGGATCTTTCTCTCCTGGGAGAGACTAAGAATGGAAAATTGGCACAGTTTCTTTCAAACTGAGTTTCTGGATCACTCTTTCTGCTAAAGTCAAGAAGGGATAAAAAGAAGAAGGGGGCCTGGCACAGTGGCTAATGCCTGTAATCCCAGCACTTTGGGAGGTCAAGGTGGGTGGACCACCTGAGGTCAGAAGTTCAAGACCAGCCTGACCAACACAGAGAAACCCTGTCTCTACTAAAAATACAAAATTAGCCAGGTGTGGTGGCGGGTGCCTATAATCCCAGCTACTCAGGAGGCTGTGGCAGAAGAATCACTTGAACCTGGGAGGCGGAGGTTGCAGTGAGCCGAGATCACGCCATTGCACTCCAACCTGGACAACAAGAGCGAAACTCTGTCTCAAAAAAAAAAAAAAGAAGAAGAATAGGTTTTGATAGTAGAAAGATGCAAAGTTAAGTCTCCACTGAGCTACCTACTAGTTTCATGGCCTTGGGAAAGTCCATCTTTAGTAATAATAACTAATACATACAGAACATCAAGAGCTGTATACTACTCGAATGCTTTACAAAGCTTTATTTTATTTCATCCTTATAACTACTTATTTATAATAATTATTTAGGTAAACACTATGGTTATTTTTCTTTCACAGATGAGAAAACAACATTGCGACATGTCCTCTGAGCCCTATTGAAATAGACAGCTCTTAGTCATGGTGTTTGATCCCTGGTTTGATGAATGGTGTGCTTCAGATGGAAGCAGCAACAGGGTTTCAGCTATAAGTCTCATTGTATGGTTGGACATATCTCCTACCTGTGTCAATTCCGGCTTTGTGGCTTTCGAACTTGGGTCCTGGAACTTCTAGAAATTCTGTAAGCTTGTTAGCATACTGTATTCATTTCTATTGCTGTGTAAAACATTGCCACAAACTTAGCAGCTTAAAACAACACACAGTTATGATCTCACACATTCCATGGATCAAGAGTTCAGCACACTTTAGCTACTTCCTCTGATCAGGGTCTCATTGAAATTAACATGTCACCTACCTGTATCCTCATCAGGGACTTGGCTAGGGAAAGACCCACTTCCAAGCTCTCTCAGGGTGTTGGCAGAATTAGTTTCCTTGTGGCCTTGTGACTAAGATCCCCATTTTCTTAACTATCAACCAGGGACCCCTACCAGTTCCTAGAGACCACCTTTAGGTGTTTGCCACATGGCCCTCTCTACAATATGACAGGTTGCTCCTTTACGGACCACAGAAGAGCATCTGCTATTTCTTCTTGTATCTTTTAAGGTATAGTGTGATTAGGTCAGACCCACCTGGAATAATCTCACTTTCGATTAATCAAAGTAAATTGATTAGGGATCTTAATTACTACAAAATTCCTATTTCCATATCATGTAACATAACCAAAGGATATTCGGTCATATTCAAAGTTCTGCCCACACTCCAAGAGAGGGATTAGACAACACATATATACTATGGGGGAAGAATCTTGGGAGCCATTTTAGAATTCTGACTTCCACATATACTATTTTAACTCCGTTTCTGCTTAAATTTGGCAAAATGGCTTCTGTTGTCTGCAATTGAACCCTGAGCAAAAACAGATGATACAAGGAGCAATAGACCTTTGAGGAAATGAGACTCCAGGACAGATAGGCTGTCTAACCTGAGAGGGCGAGGATCTAGTTCTCAATAAAGAACGTGATATTGCTACTCTAAAACACCTAGTGACAAATTTGTTTCTTATATAACCTGTGTCTACCAGAAATGAAGAACATAGAATGAAGACTTTGGTAGTCAGAGCGGCAGCTATGGTAGAACATTATCAAAGGCCTGAGGAATATAAGGACTGGGGAGTAAACTACTGATTTATAACTGCACTAGTAAGCTTAGAAGATAAAAATGAAAGGCTGGGGTTTTAAGTTTTCAGCTCAAAGTATGGTTAGAAAACCAAGGAGTTTCTACAACTACTGAGAAAGAATGAATCTCTTATCTCCAGCAGGGCTGATATAACTAAAATCAGACTCAGAATCTGGTGGTTTGTCAAATGGCATTAGTGTTTGAACCCAAAGCCCTATTGTGTCTTTTGAAAGGACAGTTGTTAGGAAAAAGAAGACCCCAAGAACTGGAATAATGATATTTTGGAAAATCCACATGGCCCTTACGACCCTAATCTCCAAAAGCCACTGAGCTTCCTCTTTCCCTGTGTCATGAAGCTGGTTCTACCCTGTGTAAGTACCCTGTAATTACCTTACCTGAGATAGTTACATTTTAAGGATTCTCTTTAGGACCTATGTCTATCCTCTCATTGCCTCCAGACCTATCATGAGGGTGAAATCACAGTATTCTCTAGGAGGCCAATTACAAAGTTATGCTTGGCAGAAGGTGGCCAATACATCAAAAGAAATGCAGGACTTTGCCATGTACATTGTCAAAAATATGCGGAGGGAATTTTGTTTCCAGGTAAGATGATGTAAGCACACTGTATTCTGTATCTCCCAGTGAATATACATATAAAACCTGGATCAAGTGCAGGGAGGTATCTGAGGTCTCCGAGAAGTAAATACTAGGCTGGGTGCAGTGGCCCATGCTTTGTAATCCCAGCACTTGGGGAGGCTGAGGCAGGAGGATCACGTGAGGTCAAGAGTTCAAGACCAGCCTGGGCAAAAAAGTGAGACCCCCATCTCTACAAAAAAATTTTAAAACAATAATTAGCTGGGCATGGTGGCCCATGACTGGAGCTCTAGCTACTTAGGAAGCTGAGGCTGGAGGATTGCTTGAGCCCAGGAGTTCAAGGCTGCAGTGAGCTATGATCACACTACTGCACTTCAGCCTGGGCAACAGAGCCAGGACCCTGTCTCTGAAAAAAAAAAAAACCATAAAAATAAAAAGTTGAAGGTGAGGAATTAGACTAGAACTCAAAGAACCACTGAACTGATGGTGAATATTCTCATTTTTCTCTGATATCCCCCAGCCTAGACTCAAGAGACTCAGAATCCTAAAAGTAGATACCAGGCGTGGACAGAGAGCTCTCAAGGAGGAGCCCTCTGGCTCTGGCTCAAGGAGCAAGAGAGAGAACTTCTAATGCTCAGAGAAAGTAGAAAAATTCTCCAGTTTTTTCTTCCTGTTTTTCCCTCTTCTGACCATTCTCTCAGGCTTCAACTTCCAGGCAATCTCATAGGGATAGAACAGGAAGTGATAGCAGGGTTTCTTCAGACTCTTAAACTTTGAGGAAGGGAATCTTCATCTCCAATTTGAGGAATCATAAACCCAAGAGAATGAGGCAAGCCCTGAAGGTTGTTTGTCTCTCTTTTTCCTTCCATGGCTTGGTTCCAGATGTAAGTATAGTTGCAGGAAGTACAAGACAGAGTGAGGGTGTCTATGGCCTCAGTTTTCTGGATAGAGGACCAAAAGGAGAAATACCCGGGACATGGAAAATCTCATAAAAATTACAGAGAGGGAAGAGCTCAGAAAAGTAATCCTATAAAGTTGTTTATAAACTATGGGCTCACCCTTGAGCCCCACATGTGTAGATCTGACGCTAAACAGCGTACCAAAAACTGAGTCACAAGACAGACCACCGCCCAGACCCCAGGCTGACCATGGGTGACACACAAAAACAGAATCAATGAGCACTACAAAGACTTTGAAAACCCAACTGGCATTGAAACTACAACTCACAGAAGGTTAACTGGAAGTTGCAGCCTGAACCCAACTAGGTCAGTTTACTGCTAAAAGTATCAACATTCTCCATAGGATTTAAATAAGACCCAGAGTCTCCCAACATCATATTTAAAATATTCAGAATAAAATTAAAAATTACTCGGCATAAGAAGAAGCAAAAAAAAATCCCAGTTCACATGGGAAAAGACAATCAACAGATGCCAATGTGGAGATGTCTCACGGATGTTGGAAATATCAAAGACTTTACAGCAGTTATTACAAAAATGTTTAAGAAGTAAGGATTTGCCAAAATAAAAAAGATAGAAAGCCTCAGCCAAGAAATAGAAACATAAAAAGGAGCCAGATAAAAAAATTTTAAAACTGAAAAACACAATTACACAAATTAAAACCTCACTGGATGGCTCAATTGAAAATAGGCAATTGAAAAGCAGAATTGAAAATAGGCAAGTTTATCTATAAACTTACCTATATGGATGTTTGGAGATCCAACAAGATAAAGCTATTGACTTATACTTTAATTTACTTCTGATCAAAATCTTATCAGGAACTTTTATAGATTTAGACAAACTAATTCTAAAATTGATATGGAAGGCAAAAGAATTAGAACAATCAAAACAATTTTATAAAGAATAAAGTTGTGGGAATTACAATAACCAATTTGAAGACTTGCTATAAAGCTACAGTAATCAAGACAGTACAGTATTGGTGAAGGGACAGGCTGATAGGTCAATGGAACAAAATAAAGAGACTAGAAGAATCAGCATGCATATAGGGAAAGCTGATTTTTGACAAAGGTGCAAAGCCAACTTACATGCGAAAAGATTTCTTTCAACAAATTGTGTTAGAACAACTGGATATCCAAGTGCAAAATAAAATGAATGTCATTCTAAACCTCACAGCTTATTTTTTTAACTTAAAATGGATCAGAGATTTAAATGTAAAACTTAACACTATAAAACTTTTAGAAGAAAATATAAGAAAAAATCTTTGTGATTTTTAGCAAAAAGTTTTTAGACATGACACCAAAAGCATAATCCTTAAAAAATAAAATAAAATAAAAAGTTGAGTTTATCTACATTACAACTTTTTGCTCTGTGAGAGGTATTGTTAAGAAAATGAAAAAACAAGATACAGATTGGGAAAAAATACATTCAAGTCACATATCTGACAAAGAACTTCTATCTAGAATGTATTTTTCTTAACTCTAAAAAACTCAACAGTAAGAAAGCAGACAACCCAACTTCAAAAATCACAAAATACTTAGATAAAGAGGATACGTAAGTGGCAAATTCACACCTGAAAAGATGTACATCATTAGCTATTAAGAAAACACAAATTAAAATCAGGACATGATACCACTACACACTTATTAGAATGGCTAACATAATTTAGAAAACTGACAGTACCAAATGCTGGCAAGAATGGCAAGCAACTGAAACTCTCATACGTCGTTAATGGGAATGCACAGTAATAAATTCACTTTGGGAAACAGTTTGACGGTTTCTTATAAAGCTAAACATACACCTACCGTATGACCCAGTAATCCCACTGCAAGTATTGAAATAAATCCCACTCTCTAAAGAAACGAAAACTTACATTCACACAAAAACCTGTACATGAATGTTTATATAGGAGTTCTATTCATAATCACCTAAAGTGAGAAACAACCAAATGTCCTTCAAAGAGGAACTGGATAAACAAATTGTTGTATAACCATTCAATGGAATATTCAGCAATAAAAAGGAAAGGATTACTGATACACACCAATAATATGCATGAATCTCAAATGCACTGTGCTGAACGAAAGAAGCCAGTCTCAAAAGGCTGCATACTATATGATTCCATTAATATGATATTCTCAAAATGGAAAAGCTATAGTGATAGGGGACAGGTCAATGGTTTCTGAAGGTTAGGAGTAGGACATGGGTGTAAATACAAAGAGACAGGTCAAGGGTGTTATTTGGGGTGATGGAATTATTCTGTATACTGATTGTGGTGGTAATTACACAAATCTATATGTGTGTTAAAACTCAGAATTATACACCCCAAAAAAGTCCGTTTTTCTGGTATGTTAACTTAAAAATTAAAACAATATTTATAATGAACTTGTGTGGGAATGAAGTCTCATAGGCCTGGAACAGGGAGAAAAGAATATAATTTTAAATCAGGTTGCATTTTCAATGTGTGAACACCTACCAGAGATTCTAGGTTCAAACTACTGACTCAAGCAACTGTGAAGTGTTCTATTTATTTACTTAGTTGGTGGATTGAAAACTAGAGTCAACAGTAACCTATATGAAGTTAAAATGTCAGAAAGAAGTTGATATAATATAGAGGAAAGAATTAAGCTGAAGAGAGAAGAATTTAAGAGCAGATTTATCATGTGTTCACAACCCCTACCCCAAAAATAACCTCCGAGAAGTTCAGATGACAGTCTCTTCACCATAAGATTGAGAAATATATAGATAACAGAAGCACCAGCATCCTTTAAAATCACATTCATAGCTAAATACTATAAGTAGAGTACAAGCATAGAAGGTGCTGCCATTATAATGAGCTCCTAGATTTAAGTGACTGATGGAAACTCAGAATGACAAAGGTCTAATGGATGTACTCAACTACCAGAGAAAATGTAGATGTGGTTACCAAAACAGGTAGCAGGGCCAGAATAACAAACAGAATGATCTTACCTCTATGGATCTTTGGAGATAATGAAGCTTCTATGATTGAAATAAATGTGCTACCCTCTAAGGTTCTACATGATGTGCCTATCAAAAAAAAAAAAAGTGCTGGACTTGGTAAGCAGAAGGTTGATCTGAACCACCATTATAGAGACTCACTACCTGTCACTCAATTCCCAGACATGAATCAGTTTAAAAAGTCAGAGCCTTTTCATTGGAGATTGGGTACTCTCGAAAAAGGATTATGTAACAACATCACAAGCATGTACTATAAATCTTTCATTGACTGTTACCAAAGGCACATGCAAATACTTTTCAGAATAATTGTACCCTGGGGAAAAAAAGGAATACCTAGAATTTGGGGGGATTACTTGACCCTGACTCTGAGCTAACACTAATTCCTGGCAACATAGAACATCACTATGCTCTACTGCTAAGATAGAGGCATTCTGAAGCAAGGGTTAAATGAAGTTGGCTATGAGTCCCACCATGTTTATTTCACCAGTTCATGACTGTGTAGTTGAAATGAGTAACACACGACCACAAAATCCCCATGCTTACTCACTCTATGACCCACTGAGTAAAAGCTAGTTTGGAATAAAGATCAAGTGAAAGTCCTTAGAACTCTCTTTACTTAAAAGGAAATGGCAAACATTCATTACTGCATTCGTGACGGCATTGCAAGGATTAATGCCATTATCAAATATTTGAAAGGTGGAAGTCCCATTTAATTCTCTTATTTGGCCTTTGTAGAAAACAGACAAATCTTAAACAGTAGGTTGTTGTAAGTTTAATGACCCCAAATGAAGTTGCCATTCCAGATGTATTATATTTACTGGGTAGCAATTAAGCATGGACCCTGGCAAATAGTATTTGAGCCATTGATCTCAAATACATATTTTTCTCTATCTCGACAAATAAAGAATTCCAGAAGTGCTTTGCTTTCACCTGGCAGAGCAATGTATCTTTACCTTCACTTTCTTATATCAGTGTTCTGCTGTGGACAGACCTATACAAACCCTCAAAGTCCAAGGAAGCTGAAAGGCTGAAGAAAGAGGCTGACAAATCTAGTTTCTTAGAAAGAAACATTTAACAGGGACTTATTAACAGAAGCCATGTCTGTGTCTCAGGCAGTAGGAAGATGGTGGATCCCTGCACCATTATTCCCCAGACCCAGGGCTTATATACCACAGGGAAAGTGTGACTCTGAAGGGATGTGTAAGACAATTGAAGTATCAAGGTTGTTTCGACCTGAGGGCAGGATTTATGGTAAGTAGGTGCTCTTGCACAAGGAACAATAGATAAACCAGAAATCTTAGAGGCTTTCCTGGAACTGGGGTTAATCAGATGTCAACATGGCAGATTAGTATCCAAGATGGAGTTGCTTTGGCCTCCACAATCAGGGATACAACAACTTCAGACTCTGTGCAACATTTAGTCCACAGGGACTTTGATAATCACATCTTTCCATAGAATATCATGCGGGACCACTACATTAATGACATCATACTGATAGCAGCTGGTGAACAAGACGTACCAAGTCGTCTGGTTGGATGGGAGAAACACATGCTTACCAGGTTATAAGAGATAAATTTCATAAAAATTCAGGAATGTGCTACTTCATGAAGTGTCTGGGGTCCAAAGTTTGGGTTATATCATGCCAAAATGAAAGTCACATTGTTGCACCTTGCTTGACAGTTCTTTTTTTTTTTTTTTTTTTTTTTTTTTTTTTGAGACAGAGTTTCACTCTTGTTGCCCAGGCTGGAGTGCAATGGCACGATCTCAGCTCACCGCAACCTTCACCTCCTGGGTTCAAGCGAGTCTCCTGCCTCAGCCTCTCGAGTAGCTGGGATTACAGGCATGCACCACCATGCCCAACTAATTTTGTATTTTTAGTAGAGACGGGGTTTCTCCATGTTGGTCAGGCTGGTCTCGAACTCCCGACCTCGGGAGATCTGCCCACTTTGGGCTCCCAAATTGCTGGGATTACAGGCATGAGCCACAACGCCCGGCCAACAGTTCTCTTTAGATTTGGAAGCAACATGACACATTTGACTGAACTTCCATGCTCATTTACCAAGTAACCCATAAGGCTGCCAGCTTTGTGTGAGACATAGAGCAAGAAAAGGCTCTGTCTGCAGTAGGCTGAGGATGCTGAGACTAGGCCTTCATGACTTCGTAGATCTGTGACTGACTGAAAGCCATGTAGAGCCTATGGCCAGCCCCAATACAAGAACGATAGTTAGGGCCTCTGGGGCTTCAAAACAAATCAGTGCCCTGTAGGTAGGCAAACGTACTCTTGAGAAACAGCTCCTGGCTTGTTATTGGCCCTGGAAGAAATGGAATGTCCAACCACAGTAAAACTAGTAGCCTTGCAATTGGCCTGCCCTTAGTAAATAGGGGATTGTCAACCACCATTAAGGTGTATCCAAGAGCACTTCATCATCACGTGAAAGTGATATGTAATGAATAAACTTAGCAGATCCAATAGATTGTAAAAATTGCATGGCTCACCTCCCAGGGTGTCTATTCTTTCCACATTTCTATCTATCTCTTCTTCAATTCATGCCTATATCCTTAAGAGGAATTCCACATGACCAGTTGACTAAAAAGGTAAAAACTAGCGTCTGATTTAAAAAAAAAAAAAAAAAAATTTACAGAGACAGGATCTCACTATGTTGCCCAGGCTGGTCTTGAACTCCACAGTTCAAGCAATCCTCCTGCCTTGGCCTCCCAAAGTGCTACAGTTACAGGTGTAAGCCACCATGCCCTGCCAAGCACCTGATTTTTAGATGGCTTTGCACAATATGGAAGCATCAGATTCAAATGGACTATAAGTCCACATAGAAGTAGTCCAAAAGAACAGGGAATAAAATAAATATCTCCCAGTGGGAAGACTTTTCAGGGGATATCTCATGCTCCAATTTGTTTGGAAAGATAAATTCCCTGCAGTGTGAATCCTCCAGGACTCATAAGCAATGGCTAATGGTTTGATCAGACTTGGAGGTACCAAGATTGGCAGACTGGTGACAAGGAGTATTGGAGAGAAGGAAATATGATGAACCTCTCAGAATAAACAGTAAGAGAATAATTTGTGTTTCCTGCAGAAAATGAAGTTCACAATATTTGGGCGAATAAAATAAGCTGTCCTATAAGTGTCAGGGAGTCTTTCCTCAACCATCTCTATGTTTGCTCTAAGGGCTCATGAAAAACATGGCCATAGTGACAAAGCTGGACCTTATGCATGGCCTCAACAACATGGACTTCCCATGACCAGGATACTGCCACTGCTGAGCACATAACTTGCCAGTAGCAATGACCACTTGGGATGCCTGGATAAGAGATATATCTCTGAGAAAACAGCCTACCACCATTGAGTAGACTGATCGCATTGGAGTCAGTCCTTCCCCAACAGACACTTAATCTAGATACGGATTTTTCTTCTGTTATGGGCTGAATTGTGTCTCCCCAAAATTTATCTGTTGAAGCCCTAAACCCCAGTACCTTAGGATGTCAGTAAAGTTGGAGATACAGACTTTATTTTTTAATTTTATTTTAATTATTTTATTTTATTTTTTTAGATGGAGTTTCACTCTTGTGGCCCAGGCTGGAGTGCAATGGCGCGATCTTGGCTTACTGCAATCTCTGCCTCCCAGGTTCAAGCAATTCTCCTGCCTCAGCCTCCCGAGTAGCTGGGATTACAGGCGCCTGCCACCATGCCCAGCTAATTTTTGTATTTTTAGTAGAGATGGGTTTTCGTCATGTTAGCCAGGCTGGTCTCAAACTCCTGACCTCAGGTGATCTGCCTGCCTCAGCCTCCCAAAGTGCTGAGATTGCAGGCGTGAGCCACTGCACCTGGCCAGACATAGACTTTAAACAGGTCTATATCTCCAAAGTAAGTTAAAACGAGGCCATCAGGGTGGGTCCTAATCCAATCTGACTGGTGGTCTTAGAAGAAGAGGAAACTTGGACATATGGAGACATCAGAGATACACAAGCACAGAGGACAGGCCACGTGAGGACACGGTGAGAAAGCAAGTGTCTGCAAGCCAAGCAGAGGCCTCAGAAGAAACGCATGTGCCAACACTGTCGTCTCGGACTTCCAGTCTCCACAGCTGTGAGAAAATAAATGTCCGTTGTTTAAGCCACCCAGTCTGTAGGATTTTATTATGGCAATCCAAGGCAAACTAATACATCTTCCTCTCCCACCATATTTCTGAAAGCCACAGAATTCATGGACTTACTGAATGCCTTATTCAAAATGTTGACATCTCTCACAACATTGCTTGTGACCAGGGAACAAATGTACAGGAAAAGAAGTATGGGGGTGGGCTGATGTGCATAACATGCACTGGTCTTCCCATGTATTCCATCATCCAAAAGCCACTGGCCTGAGAGAATGGAGTGACCCCTTGTCCAGCATGAAGACAGGACCTGATGAGGTTGAAGTGTTGCCCTACAAAATGTAGCATATGTCTTAAGTGAATGACTGCTGTTTCACCCCCTAAAAATAAGAGGTAAAAATGGGAGTATCCGGTGGCTCACGCCTGTAATCCTACCACTTTGGGAAGCTGAGGCAGGCGGATCACCTGAGGTCAGGAGTTCAAGACCAGCCTGGCCAACATGGTGAAACCCTGTCTCTATTAAAAATACAAAAATTATCCATGCATGGTGGCGTGTGCTTGTAATCCCAGCTACCAGGGAGGCTGAGGCAGGAGAATCTCTGGAATCCAGGAGGCAGACGCTGTAGTGAACCGAGATGGTGCTACTGGCACTTCAGCCTGGGCAACAGAGCAAGATTCTGGCTCAAAAAAAAAAAAAAAAAAAAAAGAGTATCTTCTCTCATAATGATACCTAATGAACAACTTGCTAAATTTTTGCTTTTTGTGACTTTTGGGCTCTGCTGGTTCAAAGACTTTGAACCCATGGGAGGGACACTTTTACCAGAGGACACAATAATGAGGCCACTGAATTGGAACCTGAGACTCCCGCCCGGACAGTTGAGATTTATCATCCCCTGTTGGACAAAATGACTGATCCAGATTATCCAAGTAGACTACTGTCACACATGTGGGCAGAAAGGACTATTTCTGTAAACCAAGAGATTCTCTGGGGCACCTCTAAAACTGCCATGTCTGGTGATAAAAGTTAATAGAAGGGGCCAGGTAGGGTGGCTCACACCTGTAATCCCAGCACTTTGGGAGGCCAAGGCGGGCAGATCACTTGAGGTCAGGAGTTTGAGACCAGCCTGGCCAACATAGTGAAACCCTGTCTCTACTAAAACTCCAAAAATTAGCCAGGTGTGGTGGTGGATGCCTGTAATCCCAGCTACTCAGGAGGTTGAGGCACAAGAGTAACTTGAACCCGGGAGGTGGAGGTTGCAGTAAGCTGGAGGTTGCAGTGAGCTGAGATCGCACCACTGCACTCCAGCCTGGGTGACAGAGCAAGACTCAGTCTCAAAAAAAAAAAAAAAAAAAGTTAATAGAAGGTAACTTTCAATCCCATAACGGCAGAGCAATTAAGTATTCAGATCCCCCAGGAATGAAGTTTGGGTCATCCCTCTAGATAAAGAATCATGCCCAGCTGGCTCACTTGCTGAGGACAAAGGGAACACGAATGGGTAGAAGAAGGACATTATAAATAACAACTGCAGCCTCGTGACCAGTTGCAGAAAAATAAGTTCTGCAGCATAGACATTGACTATCCACATTTTCTTCTTCGTTTGCTGTGTCATGTATGTATTTATGTCTATTTAATACATTTTACTATTTTATTTCTTTCTGCTTTTCTGCACTATTTTATGTAGTCTGTGTGGGTAGTACTTAATCTTACAACCTAGTCCATAGACTACAGAATACCAATGACAGTATGACTGAGATAGAGGAGAAATGAATATCACCCAGAAAACCTGAACTTGGATCTGGATGCCGCAGAAAAACAATGAAACTTGGAGTCCTTCCTTTGGGGTAGTGCATTTTCTTTTGTACGAGTGATCATTGTATTCTCTCAGGCTAGCACAGGTTACTGTTACTATTACAGCTGGTAATATAAGCATTAAAATGGGGCACATAAATGTTGACATTATGCAGCAAAGGGGTGGATTGTAGTGACATCTCAAATTTTTGAATACTTCCACATTGTAAGTCCTACCTTTGCAAGATATCATCTAAAAAAAAAAACTACATTTCTCAGCCTCCCTTTTCAGTAAGGTACAGACATAAAACTAGCTTCTTTCAATCAGAGGCATCAGCATAAAACTTAGAAAGCAGATGGGAGAATAGTGAGGTGAACGGTGAGACTAGTGGAATCATGCAAGTATGCAGTCTTAGGCAGTTCTGCAGGAGCTGTAACAGAAGTTCAGTGCAGTGAAGGTCCAGTTTGTGTTTTCACAGGAGTTGAGCAGTATGTCACAGCCTCTGCAGAATTTCCAGATGACAAAATAATGTCATCAGAATTTTGCTATATCCATTTCCATTTCTAGACCTAGCTTTTATCTGCACTGGATTCCTTCTCAAGTAGGTTCTTTCCCTTGTAGTGGCCCCTGGGAGCCCCAAACCCAGGGAAAGAGAGTTTCTCTTTCCAATCATCAAGAAAAAAAAAGTCCCTGGACTGAATCTCATTCACGCAGTTTGGGTCACATATCCATCACTGAATCGATTGCTGTGGCCAATGAGATTGAATATGCCAGGCCCAGGTAATACGCATCCCCTGAACAGTCAGATCAGGATGAGGTCTGAAAGGGAGACTAGATCCGTTTCAAGTAGTTCATCACCCAAAAGCAACTAGCCTTACAGTATGGAGGAACGAACTGGTGAGACTGAGGTACTGCCCTACAAAATGTAGCATATGCTTCAAGCTAGTGACCACTTACCAAGGGTAGTCCTCAAGCTAAAATCAGGATGTTACCAAAGAAAAGGAGGAGGAATGATGGGCAGGCAGAAGCAACAGTGGTCCACTACATGGCAAGTTCCGGCTCCTCCCCTGGGCTCTGGTAGGATGGTGACTAAGAGAGCCTGCAGCTGAGTCCCTGACTCTTCTTGCCTTGTGACCCTAGTGGCACTTTCAGTTTGCTGAACTAAAATTCTGAAGGTCTGGTTTTCAGGTGTGATGTCTGCGAACTGGACAATCTCCCTTAACTTTTTTGAACCTCCTTTGGGCCATTTTTTGCCAAATGAAGAACTAATAAAGCCTGCCTTGTGAAAATTCAACAAGATAAAACTCATAAAAACCACTTTGAAATCTGTAAAGTACTCCACAAATGTAATGGATCATCTTTATTGCTTCAAGGAAACCAGAGATGAACTGAGCCTAGCTCATCCTGGTTAGGAGGGGGAAACTATCCCATAGATAAAGGGCAAATATGGGAAACTGAGGTTGATGGACGGCCATAAGGCAAGTGGAGTGAGAACTAGGGCCACTGTCAAATGCTCTTCACCACACAGATAAGACCAATCCACCTCTTTCTGGGCTACTGAGCTCGTCTCCCCGCTTCCCTAGGTAAGAGTAAAAATATCTGCTGAGCTGTGACCAAAGGCTTAAACTGTAAATATGTTTGACATAGGATTCCTCACTGAGAAAATTTCTTCTAGGAAAATAAATAGTTAGGAAAGCAAAGATTCCTGTGAAAGAAAATGTATTGCAGCAATTACTGGGATAACAAAAGTTTGAAAGTAGCTGCCCTGCAATAAGAAATTGATTATATAATTACACAAATTATGGTATTATCTCTTCAGTGGCATGCTAAGAGTAAAATGATGATACAGATAGTACACAGAGGAAGAGCCAGGATATAATAAATGAAAAGAGCATGGACATTATGATCCCGTTTTTGTCAATCAAACCTATAGATGCATTCATGTGCATAAGGAAAGATTGAAAAGATACATAATAGTTACATCATGCATTCCTTTAACTTCTCTGAGTTAAACTGTGCAGTCCCCAAGATGTGTGGGGTGGTGGGGGGCAGCGGCAGGGAGACAGAGAAAGAGAGAATAATTTAAAGCGTGCAGGAGATCTGACCTGACACTCACTGAACACGTGAGTGAGATGAGGACACAAGAATGCTGAAATTTCAGTCCCTCTCAGTTCTCATTTGCCTTTCAGAATGTGAGCATCCTCCCATGCTGAGTATGATGCTAATGTTTCAAGATGTGTATTTTTTTATACAACCTGTCCCCTAAATGCAAGCCAGCTACGTTTTCTAGGGCTCAACCAATGAAGCAGTGATCAAGTTCAAGCCCAGAGGAAAATGGCTGACTTGTACGGATGGAAAGATGCCGCGTCCTCTCCTAATGCGGCCCCTTCCTGAGAAATTGTCCACTGTGGTTTTCCTCCTGACTTTAGATCCTGACCCCCACCTGTGGTTCCCAAGAAGCTCCTTCCCAGCAAAACGTATACAGTGGTGACCTCTGGGTGAAGCTGTTTCTTTTCTCTTTATGACAAGCTATATCTTCTAATTACCTAAAATGAACATGTATTAGGTAATGTATTTTTAAGGATAGCTAAGACCTCCTGCTCTAGTGGAGACTTAACAGAGTACCCTCTAGAATGTTCCATTTAGTTATCCCAGCTTTGCCAGCACACAAGAGCAGATTCCTGTGAAGACTGTGCAGAGGCCACTGTCCTTCCTCTGTGGCTGGCAAGGCTGCTCTCTCCTCTTCTCTCAACCCTTATCACAGAGAATCTCCGTGGCTGATAGCATTAGGCCGGGGCCGGGCAGCCCTGGATGGCTGCAGGCCCCAGGGTGCCAGGCAGCTCGGGGCCATCTCCGCCCATCGCTCCCAGGCTCCATCAACCCTTGTTAGTCCTCATTACCAGCCTGAGCCCAGACAGGCTGCCTCCACGCTGGGTCCTTGATTTTTCTATTTGGAGAGGGTTATTCGGGCCAAATCTCCAAATCAAGTTATGCCCCTGACATCTTAGATTTGCAGTGCTCTGACAGCGCCTCCTCCCCTGCAGCCCACCCTCAGTCCCCACAAGCTACAGATGGTCACCGGCAGTGTATAAACCTATCTTGATCCCCCTGCAGAATATAAACTCTCTCTCTTTCTCCCTCTTTCTCTCTCTCACACACAAACACAGAGACACACACACACATAAACACACACAAATCCTCATATACACACAAACACTTCCCCACAGCCCCACAAATGCACTCTATCACCCATACTCACTCAAATAAGCGTCCATGAACACCCACACCCTGGGGTCCTCAAAAGTCACGAGAGACCCAGATCACTTACAGTTTTGAGGTTTCCAGCATGTTCAAGCATGACAAATTGCTACAACCGCGTTTCAAAATTTGTAGCTCTTTTAAATGTTTACATTTAACAAATTACCATTGTGTGTTTTAAACGCGAGATAATTGTGTTATCCACAAAATAATTAAAGGATTTATGAACAATTAATTCTTAGGACATGGCAAGCAGCAGCAGGCTTCAGGAATGCATTGTGCTTAGGGCTGGATGATGAATGTCCTCCCCTCGCCATCTTGTCAGCTTATCTCTCGGACTGCATATGTAACCTCATTTGGGGACAATATCAAGAGCCCACATCTGAAGCCTTCTGTGAGTGTGAGGCCCAGCCAGTGGCTCCTGTCAACCCCTGAATGCACACTCACCATGCACGCTCACCAACAAGGCCCTGAGCCCCCACACACTACCACCACATACCCACCCTACCTGCAGGGGGAAAGCCAGAGTCCTGGGACTCACTGGTAACCTCAGTCATCCCTTGACAGTCATTGGAATGTCTCAGAGCTGGGAGGGACCCTCTGTGCCATCTGATCCAGCCCTTTCAAGGCAGAGGCTTCTCCTACAATGCCCCCGCGATGGTTGACCACCTGGCCCAGGCTCGAGCCCTTTCAGATCCTTCCTGACTCAGCAGCGTGGACTGGTCCTAATAGGAAGGAATGTGAAGTCGGCCATCCTAGAACTTCCACTCATTAGCATCCTCCTCCTCTTCTATAGAGTAACCCTAGGATTCAGGAAAAGCGCCATTCAGCCTGCTCTTCTCTGGGACAAAGGGCTTCTGTTCTGTCCACCTGCATCTGGAAAAGTATTGCCTATGTATGTGCATGCGCACACACACACATGCACATGATTACTAGCTCACATACACATATACACTCACATGCTCATACCCATACATGTACACACACACTTTCAAAGACTGCCTTTTAGGGCAAGACCCTGACCTTGAGAGGCAAACCACAGTCTGAAGCCCTCTTTCATTCCCTATTAGTGGTGGCTTGAAAAAGTCATCTGTCTTCTGTAAGCCTCAGTTTTCCCTGTATTTAAAGTGGATCCAAAAGACATCTGCCTCACAAGTCACTGGTCGGATCTACTTGAGATCTTTGTAAGAGCACCCAGCAAACCACCCGGCACATAGTTTCTTTCCTATCTTCCTGTGCTTTGGGGAAATCCTTACACTGACCACGCCCAGTCCACTCCCACCATCATGACCACCAACTCAAACATCCAAGCAGAACACGAGGGCTCTATCATCCTAAGTCGGACTAGATGCTAGAAAACACATTGCCACATTGAGCAAAGTGGGGTCCTGGATCCTGCCCACCTCACCTGCTTTCCATTTACCTCCACTTCTTCCTTATGGCCTACTTTCATGTCTCACTGAAACCCCTGCAGCTCTCAGTCCCCTGCTGCCTCCCTAGGCTTCACTTTTGCTCTCTCTCATTGGAATATCTTCCCTGTCATCTCCCAATTCCTCCCACCACCAGATCAGGGAAAGCTTCCTGGAGGAGGTGAGTCCAGGACTCAGTCTGGAAGAATGAGCTGCATCACTAAATATCTGCCTAACTCCTATTCATCCCTCCAAACTAGTGCCTGACCCCTCCCCCAGAAAACCTTCCCTGATCACCTCACCTCCAGCTAGTTTAGACCATGCATCAATTAGCACTTTTGTTTTCTGATTGCAATGAGTGTTTTTGTTTGGGGGTTGAGATACGTATCAGAAAATGAGTGGAACACTCAAACTAGATAGTTGACAAGAGTTTAACAAAGTGATTATTTTCAAAGGCAGGGTTTAGGGAACCCAAAAAGAGATCGCATCGTACATAGGACTAGAAACAGAGGGCAACCTTAACCCCCGATAGGCCTAACTGGGACAATGGGAGGAGCTGCTAGCAGAACCAGAAGATAATGACATGAAACGGCAGGGCTGGTGGTGGTGAATGTCAGTCAATGTCAGAATGATGTTAGGATCATAATGTTTGTTCAATGTTAACATTTTAATTAAAACTTTTAGTTGATTTTTCCACATTTGTACATATTTTGTATTTGAAAGGTATTAAGGTTTTAGTTTCACTGATTATTTTAAAATGAATTTTAAATACTTCATTTTTAAAAACCAGTATTGCCAGGCGTGGTGGCTCATGCCTGTAATCCCAGCACTTTGGGAGGCCGAGGCGGGTGCATCATGAGGTCACGAGTTCGAGACCAGCCTGACCAACATGGTGAAACCCCATCTCTACTAAAAATACAAAAATTAGCCGGGCATGGTAGCGTGCGCCTGTAATCCCACCTACTCAGGAGGCTGAGGCAGGAGAATTGCTTGAACCCAGGAGGCAGAGGTTGCAGTGAGCCGAGATCATACCACTGCACTCCAGCCTGGGCAACAGAGTGAGACTCCATCTCAAAAAACCAAAACAAAACAAAACAATAAAAACAGGATTAATGCTCGCATTTCAGCAACATATGAATAAATATTCCAACATAGTATTATCATTCTGTTCTGATGTTGAAACTCAGTACTCTTTTGGTTGTAAGGGATAGGAAACCCAGCCCCAAACTGGCTTGAGCAAAAAGGGAATCTGTTACTTCACATGTATGAAGATTCCAGTGTGTCAGCTAGCCTCAGGCCTAGCTCGGCGCAAGGGCAAGAACAATATCACCAGGACCTGGGTTGCTCAGTCTTTCAGTCAGACTCAGTTCTCCTCCATGGGTCCCCTTTATGCTTGGATAGGCCATCCCTCAGGGTCACCCAGAGACTGCAGCAGCTCCAGACCTCACGCCCATTCAACCACACATCGAGCTGGGAGGAGCTGCTTTCCCAGAAATCCGCAGGAGTCCTGCTGCCTCCCATCGGCTCCAGTGGGCTGTTGTGGCCATCGCTACAGCAACCCCTGAGTCCCGCATTATAAGCCGCATCACTGCAGAGCCTGGGGTAAGCTCAGCTTTCTGTGAAACATAGACTGAGGTGGGAAAGGGGCAGTTTCCCCAAAGCATAAGAAACTACCCCAAGAAGAGAGAGCTGATGCTGTGTGACGAAACAACACGTACTCACCTCAGATGCGCCCCTCTGTGCTTCCATAGAATTCCAGACTTCTCTCTTAAATGACTCCCTTCACACTATTAAAAAAAAAAAATCTGGTTGGCTCACACCTGTAATCCCAGCACTTTGGCAGGCCGAGGCAAGCAGATCACTTAGGGTCAGGAGTTCAAGACCAGGCTGGCCAACATGGTGAAACCCCATCTCTACTAAAAATACAAAAACTATCTGGGTGTAGTGGTGCATGCCTGTAATCCCAGCTACTCAGGAGGCTGAGGCAGGAGAATCGCTTGAGCCCGGGAAGCGGAGGTTGCAGTGAGCTGAGATCATGCCACTGCACTCTAGCCTGGGTGACAGAATGAGAGTCTGTCTCAAAAAAAAAAAAAGAAAAAAAAAGTTATTTGGCTAAACTCCTAGAGGACAGGGACTATCAGGTATTCCCAGTCCCAGGAAATGCCTGGCGTTCCATAGTTGCTCCATAACTGTTTGTAGAGTGAACGTCTGATTGGCAGTTCCAGATGATGGTGGCTTGCCTGGGGACCCTCTATCTGACAGGCTGATGGGACAAAGCATTGTAGATATCCTCTGGGTTCTGAATGCAGACCTTAGTGTGTCTAGGATTGCCTGGAGAGCTTAAAACATAGATTTTAAAACATAGATATCCTGGCCCCACCCCTAGAGATTCTGATTCAAAAGGCCTGGGATGGGGCCTGAGACTCTGCATTTCCAGCAAGCTCCTAACCACTGCTGATGTTACAGGCTCTGGACCACGCTTTGTGTAGCAGTGCTTGAGAGAACCCACAAAGGAAGCCCAGAGATTCGGGGAAGAGCCTTTTGCTGGCCAAGACTCAGGCTACCCTGCATGATCAAACAACCCTATTCAAAACCATGCTCTCGTGACTGCTCTATTAACCGAGCATGTTCAAACAGCCTTGCTGGATGGGGCTCGTAATGAAAGAAGTAGACTTTTCAGAACTATCTAGTAAAAGATTTATTCAATTAAAGTGATTCCATTTTTAAAGATATTTGTCCTTTTGTGAAGGCAAAGCCATGCTTTTCTAATTAAAGGCTAATTGTGGGCTAATATGCAGATCTCACTGCTTTCAGCACAGTGAGGCAGAGGGAGAGGGAGAGTCTGATGGCTGTGCTGGAAATCTCAAGAGTGAAGAAAAGATGCGCACTTCATCCCCATCCTTCAGAGGGCCTGCAGGATGAAGCTTACACCTAGTGTCTTCATTCATTCAACAAGCATCTTAAGCACTTTAAAAGAGGGGTATAAAAACACATATGTAAACCTGATCATGTCATTTCCCTGCCTAAGACCCTTCAAAGTCTCCTGCTTGCATAGGATGAAGAACACAATCTTTAATTAGCATGGCGCATAAGTCCTGACAGGCCCCCTCTTCACCTCTTCACCCTCATCTCCTATGACCTGCTCCCTGACTTGGAGGCCAGCCACACTGGACTTGTCCCTGTCAGTTCCTGTGATGCACCTAGTCTGACACAGACTGAACTGTGCCCGCCCCCCACCAAATTCCTAACTGTCAATATGACTGTATCTGGAGAAACAGTCTTTAGGAAGTACTAAGGTTAAATGAAGGGCCTTAAGCCAGTAGGACTGGTGCCCTTAGAAGAAGAGAAAAAGGAACCAGGCGTACCCACTTAAGAGAAAACACCACATGAGGACACAGGGAGAAGGTGGCCGTCTGCAAGCCCAGGAGAGAGGGCTTCACAAGAAAGCAACGCTAGCATTTCAGCACTGCATGAATAAATGCTCAGAGTGTTACCATTTTGTTCTGATACTGAAAATTAGTACTCTTTTGCTTGTAAGCGATAGGAAACCCAGCCCAAAACTGGCTTAGGATGCCATCCTATGGCACCTCGATCTTGGACTCCCAGCCTCAAGAACTGTGAAAAATCAAGTTCTGTTGCTTAAGCCACCTTGGCTGTGGTATTTGGTTATGTCAGCTCTTACAAAGCCCTCACACATGCTGTTCCCTCCTCCTGAAAGACCCTGCTACCCTGCTGCGCTCAGCCAGATTAATTCCTCTACTCAACCTTCAGACCTCAGCTGAAATGTCACCTCCTCACAGAGACCTTCTCTGATCACTCCCTGCTCTGTCTGTTCATCTCCTTTACAGAACCCACCAATTAAACAGATTTTAGATTCCAGAAACATACTCAAATACAAATGAAAAATAAAGCTCATGATCAACACAACCTTCCAAATCAGTAGAACAAAGGATGCAGGATTCAGTAAATGATGTTGGGATAAACTGAGTCTCTAGTTAGGAAAAAAAGAAAAGTTTCGTCACAACCTTATTCTTTACCCAAAAATAAATTCCTGATGGAAGCAAGGTTAATGAACCTTGGAAGTTCAGGAACTGAAGGAAGGTTTTACATTCTTGGAGTTGAAATAGGAAACCACACACCCACCCCCCGCCGCCTTTTTTTCTTTTCTTTTTTTTTTTTTTTAGATAAGGTCTCACTCTGTCACCCAGGCTGGAGTACAGTGGCACGATCTTGGCTCACTGTAGCCTCAACTGTCTATGCTCAAGTGATTCTCCCACCTCAGCCTCCTGAGTAGCTGGGACCACAGGCATGCGCCTCCATGCCCGGCTAATTTTTCTTTTTTTTTTTTTTTTTGTAGAGACAAGGTCTCACTATGTTGCCCAGGCTGGTCTTGAAACTCTTGGACTCAAGCAATCCTCCCATGTAAGCCTCCCAAAGTGCTGGGATTACAGGCATGAGCCACTGAGCCCAGTCAGAAAGGCCTTTTAAAAAATACAAAACAAACCCCGAAACTCTAATAGAAAAGATTGATTACACTACTAACTTCACAAAAATAAAAATGATAATTATAAGAACAGTAACAAATTAAGGGAAATATTTGCAACATATATTAAAGACAAAAGGCTAATTTCTATTATATATAAAGAGTGTCTACAAATCAATAAGATCAAGAGTCCAGTAGGAAAATGTGGATAAGATAAAATAGTTAACGGTAACTAAGATAAAAATGAATTTTTAAACACATAAAAAGATTTACAAATTAAAATGAGATACCTCTCATTTTTACCTATTATGTTAGCCAAGTTGACAAAGCTTAATAACAGATTATTAGCAAGAATATGAAGGAACTGACACTCTCACTCATATGCACTCTCAATGCATATGACCTTTATGGAGACAATAAAACATAATATTTAAAACGTGCAGAGTCTTTAATTTAGAAATTGCAATTCCAGAAAATTATCCTATGGATAGGCTTACACATACATGAAATGATATATGTATAAGAATATTCATTGTGGCATCGTTAAAAATCTAAAAGACTGGAAACAAACTATCCTTCAATATCAGGCTGGTTAAATATATTGTGATACAGTCCATACAACTGAATATCATACAGCCTTTAAAATGAATGAGGCAGTTCCCCTGAACTGATAAGAGTGTGTTCTAAGATATATTGTTATGTGGAAAGGCAAGTTATTGAAGAAGGTGTATATCATGCTAGAACATGTTTAAAAATTTAAAAATATGCGTGCATATACTTATATGTGCATTGATTAACTTTGGAAAGGAACGTAAGGGACTGGTAACCAAGGCCACCTTCCAGGAAGGGAGCTGCAAGGGGAGGCAGACTTCTTTTTCACTGCATAATCCTCTGTAACTTTTGAATTTTGTATACTATGTATCAAAATGAATTTCTGATTAAGAACAAATGAATTAAAAGCCATTTCACAGGAGGAAAATACCAAAAGGGGAAAAAAGCAAAAACAAAATGTTACCAATGATTGTGCGGTGGTTCTAGGAACGCCTTTACTTTTTCTTTGTATTTTTCTATATTTAACTCTATTTCTTTAGTGAACATGTACTGATTTCAAATGGGGAAAAGAATCATTTTTTAAAAGCACTGTCGGAGTCACTAATCAGCATCTTTCCTGTTGAGCCGCATGTGTTCCCAGCTGGAGATGGCATGAAATCCCCCGACCACATCTGTTAATCCTGAGCCATCCCTGTAAAGACCCTCCCAGCCCCTGCATGTGGCTTTAGGGAATCAAGTCATCGCAGCTGCTTCATTGGTCCTACTCCAAGCGTGCTGGAGGCGGGACCTGTGCCTGAATGACAGCAGAGCTCCAACTCCAAGAGGAAGGGAAGAAGCACAGCGACCCCTGGAAACTTGGAAAAACCACACACACACATACACACACACACACACACACACACACACACACACACCAGTTAACATTTGAGCAGCACTCTAGAGTTTGCCAGGAGCATCTTATACATTTTATTTGACTCTCACAACTGCCATGAGATGTAGCTCTGAGGATTCTCCCCCTTTTGAAAGCTAATGAAACTGATGTGCTGAGAGGGAAAGTGACTCATCCAGGCCTCCACAGCTACATGTTCTTGGGTCAGGAGTTCCATACAGATATTCTAGCTCCAAATGTTCAGCTCTCTCTTCTTCATTAAGTTGTTGTTGTGGACACTAAATAAGCTCACCAGAACTGAGTGTCTCTTTTTTTCCTGGGCACACAACTAGATAATATTTCCCTCCCCCTCTTGCAATTCAGTGTGGTCATTCAATTAGTCATGGTTTTTTTGTTTGTTGGTTTTGTTTTGTTTTTGCTTTTTTTTTTTTTTTTTTTTTTGAGATGGAGGCTTGCTCTGTTGCCCAGGCTGGAGTGCAGTGGTGCGATCTTGGCTCACTGCAAGCTCCGCCTCCCGGGTTCACGACATTCTCCTGCCTCAACCTCCCAAGTAGTCGGGACTAAAGGCGCCCACCACCATGCCCGGCTAATTTTTTGTATTTTTAGTAGAGACGGGGTTTTACCGTGTTAGCCAGGATGGTCTTGATCTCCTGACCTCATGATCCACCCGCCTCGGCCTCCCAAAGCGCTGAGATTACAGGCGTGAGCAACCGCACCCGGCCGGAATTAGTCATGATTTTTTAGTATGATGTTCTGACATCCAAGACCTGGGGAAACTGCCCCTCCCAGAGTTGGCACATTTCTAGAGATAGTGACCCTCCCAAGAGTACACCTTTCAAATGCAAATTACCCAATCCAAAGCCCACACCCACAACACCTGCCCTCATACTGTGGGACACTATTTCCCTGCCCTACTTACCCCAGGGTCAGCCATCAGACAACTAGGGGCAGCCCCTACCCCCCTGAGTCTCAAACTAACCAATTCTAAACCTGCTTACCCTGCCTTCCCCAGACAACCTCAGTGAAGGTTTCCCCACAGTTCCCCTCACTCCCTCTGCCTCCTCCCACATGTGGCCCTGCGTGGCATGGCATGCCCCCTTCTTATCGGGAACTGTCAGTAACAGATTCTCTTTTCAGTGGTAATTGCCTCCTGATCTGTTGGCCTCACTGTACATGAGCAATCATAAAACTTACATTTTAAAATAGTTATGAGGCTAAATTTCTAGCCAATGGAAGGTGAGCAGAATTTCAAGATGTCACCTCCAGGGCTGGCCCATGAAAGCCTCCCATGCAGGTTTCTCTCTCTCTCTCTCTCATACACACACACACACACACACACGTGTGCATGCACGCACACACACACACGTGTGCACACACAACTGGCTGGATGTACAGCATCCAGCGAAACGTTTGCAGGTCCTAGGGATGATGGAACTACAAAGGGAAAGGAACCTGAGTGCCCGAATTACCACATGGAAACCACCTGCCAAACACCCAAATCACACTCATACCTGAACAAAAAGTAAACTTCTATTGTTTTAAGATACTGCAATCTTGAGTTTCTCTGCTACACCAATGGCACTACCCTGACTAATTCAGTTGCCAAAACATGCCTTTGGTGACTTCCCCCTCTTCCCATAGCCCTCCTTGTCTCTCAGACTCCTTTTCTTCATTCTCCATTTCCCCAAGGCCTTGGGGCTCTACAGTTCCCCTAGACTGTCGAAGGCCCTCTAGAAGAGCATCCTATTCTATCAAGTATATTCCTCCAAATTCAAGGAATTCCACAAATGTCTCCGAAGTGCCTACCTTGTTGCAGGGCACCGAACAGGATATGAGATGAAAGTACCAGGCCTGTGGGTGGGCTGGGTACCAGCTACTGGAGGTGAGGAGCTAGGCTGGCTCCGGGGACACAGGGATGAATCCGAGTATTTGCCACTTGTATTACAGACTCTCCCCATTGCTAGGTATGCAGATTTCAACATCAAAGAAAAGAAGGGGAAGGAGGAGAGACAGAATGAGATTGCAGTTAACTGAGACTCAAAGAACCAGGACAAGACCGATTAGGGGCCCCAAGGGGAACCACGGAGTATCTTGAGAACCTGGGGTCAAAGGGGAGGCATAGGGACTCAAAAAGCGTAGGTAAGAATGCTGAAGACAGGGAGCACTCATGTTCCACAGGGTTTTGAAGAAGACCCTAGAGCTATTAGCCTTCTGTTTCTGAAACTAAGCCTCCACTGTAAACACCCCAGAAACACCCACCAGTGGCTCACCTCTTCCCATTGTCCCTCATCAGGTGAGAGAGCATTTGTGTCTACAGCTCTGGGCCTGGGCCCTGGGCTCACTGGACTGCTGAATGCACCTCCATCAGTCACGCAGCCCCGAGGGGCACACGTACACATTCAGCAAATGTGCAGAGCTTGCTGCAAGGACCTGGGGAGGCAGCATGTGTGAGACACTGCCTTAGTCAAGCATCACTTGGCTGCAAGAAACAGGGACCCCCCCCCCCACCACACCTCTTCAAATTAGCTCAACTAATAAAGAGTTTTATTGAAGGGCTACCAGAAAAACTCGAGAAGATAGCACGAAGTGAAAGTAATTCTCACAGCAGCTGGAAAGTCATCTGTGCTTCCCTCTCCCTCCCTCCCGCCTCTTTCTGGGAAGCGCCATCATGTTTCCAGTTCTCTCTGTAGAAGGGCGTCATCTAGGTGCTGTCATTCTGGTTCATCCATAACTTAGGCTTTCCATGGCTTCCATGAGCCAGGCTCACTTGGCCTCAACTCCACAGGGCGCCATAGCGCAGCCTCCCAGCTCACCAACTCATTCTCTCTCATAGTCTTAATTTCAAATTCTTAAAAGAATTGATCTGATTAAGGAACTTATCAAACCAGATCATATGTCCACTCCCGGTATCATCAGCATGGAAGAGAGAGCTGCCCTTCCAGCTGCTGGGAGCCCTGTCAGATGAATAAGCAGAGTGTGTAGGCAGAGATACAAACTCCCTCACAGAGCCACTGCAGACCAGCTCTGGCTCTCTGAAACCTCACGGTCCAAGCTCTGGGAGAGAGTGTCTTCCAGCAAACTCCAACAGGGAATGAAAATGAGACATCAATCCTATTTCCCAGGGAGGAACCATGAATCCAAGGCAGAATGACCTATGGCAGGTCAGGAACTCAACTGGGTCACCATGGGAGCAATTGTCCTGGCTTCACACAGATCCATCCCATCCTGTGTCTCCCACTGACCCAGACCATATAGCAGCATCCTTGCTCCCTAGGCACTTATACGCCAACATACACCATGCTGGTCTAAGAGGATCTCACGTATTGCAATGCAGAAATACAGAATGTAAACAAACCTTGTCCCATGGTGGCAAAAGAAACGCAGAGACCTGGTTGCTTATCCTGATCCTGAAACTAGCTTGCCAAGTGAAGGCAGACAAGCCACTTCCTCCTCCTGCACTAGATGACCTCGATTGTCTACCCTTCCAGCTCTGACCTTCCTTGGCTGAGGGACATCTCAGGCAGGGCTAGTGGCGTAGTATGTGAAAAGGAAGATGGTTCGTGCTTTTTTCTGCTTAGTTAGAAAAGATTCTCTGGATGAGGCCAGTTCCCAGAATTGCTTAAAAGAGGGAAGGGAGAGGGCAGTAGACTACAATGGAAAGAGTTTTCAGGCCTGGTGCCACTTGGGAGAAAGGGCTGGGTCATTGTCATAAGACAGGTACATCTGACTGGGCAGAAGATTGGTTTCCTGTTGAAAGATGTTGGTCCTCATGGTCTTCAGCAGGTGTGAGTATGCATATGGAGGAGCTGGAGCAGTGTGGGGGCAGCCAGAAGGTAAAATACTTGCTTTCCGTGGTCTTCTCTACAGGGTCTCCAAGGAGGCTCTTGGGGGATTCTTCAGGGCATCCTGGGGTGAGTTATAAGCATTTCTGTCATAAGGCACAGAAACCCCACCGAAATTATCATAGTCAAATGATAATTCAGTGCCACATGTAGCTGAAAAGTTCAGAGGTAGGTCTGGCTTCAGGCATGGCTGGATACAGGTGCTCAAAGAGAATCACCAAAACCTGGTTCTTTATCTCTAAGGCCCATTTTCTCTGGATAGCATTCATTCTCAGAAAGACTCTCCTGGTATAACCACAAGATGACTGCAGCAGCTCCACCACATACCTCCAGGTTTAAGTCCTATGAGGAAGTGTGAGTCAGCTTTCCTAGCAATCCAACAAACAAAAAACCCAGAACTGAATTTCACTGGCTCTGACTGGTCTCCCTTGAATTATGTGCTAGTTCCTGAACCAATCACTGTCAGCAGGGGAATGGAACGCTCTGGTTTTGTAAGTCTGAGCCTTACTGTATAACCCATGGGCCAGGGGTGGATCCTGCTCAACCACATGGGCTGAGAGAGAGAGAGAGATGGATTCTCAGATGCTATTACCAGGAAAATCAGGAATGGGTGTTTGGAAAGCAAATTACCCATGATCACTATAGCAGGTTATCCTAAACTGGGACTATTGCTAACAGTACATTTTCATTGCAGATGTAAATTCAGGTGGAAAAGACCTCCATTTCAGCTATATACTGACATATCTTATCCTCCTAGCAGGGGAGGATTTTTTTTTTAAGTTCTGGGATACATGTACAGAATGTGCAGGTTCATTACATAGGTAAATGTGTGCTATGGTGGTTTGCTGCACCAATCAACCCATCACCTAGGGATTAAGCCCAGCATGCATTAGCTATTTTTCCTGATCCCCTCTCTCCTCTGCCACCCCTCGGCAGGCCCCAATGTGTGCTGTTCCCCTCCCTATGTCCATCTGTTCTCATTGTTCATCATTCTACCCCATGAAATGCTAATACAGGGCCTGTCTGGTACACAGTAAGTGCTTAGTACCTGCTTCTTGAATTGAATATCTGCAATGGAAAAAATCAAAATGAGCACTGCATGCAGCATCTTATATAATTTGCCAAGAACTTTTGTATCCATTTTCTAATTTCATCTTCCCAAAGCCCTATCAGAAAGGCATTATTAGCCTTACTTTACAGGTTTGAAGATGGAAGATCAGTCAGCTGGTAAGTGACTTGTCCAGCTGGTGAGTGTTGGAGCAGGGTCTCAAACCCAGGACTTTTCAACCTAAAGTATGGGTTCTTTCCTCTCCACTGTACAACCAACCAGTCAAGAAAGGAGAGGACACCAGCACCAGGGTTTGGGTCCCTGCTACCCTAGCCCAGAGAGATTCAGCCACAAGAAACTACTTCCCATCCACTAAGATGGCCAACGGGGTCTCTTTTCCTATGGATCTGGAGATAGTCCTGTTCCCATATCATGTGTCCTGGGGACACAGAGCCTTAGGGGCAGGAATAAATGCTGAGATGAGCACTGTGGTGCCAGGCAACCTGATTGATCCTCTGCCAGAGCCCCCAGCCCCTGACACCCTCCAGTCCTCTACTAAGGCTGGGGCCAGGGCTGAGCTGAGTTCTGAACATCATTTATTGACACATAAAATCCAAAGGTTTGTTTCTCCAAGGTTCCGCTGAGCCTGCATTTTTTAAATAACTACTCCAACCACTGAAAACATGCCTGTCCTTTTGGTTACTGCCTTTGAAAGACTTGATATATTTTGGAGCATTTGTATACTTAATATTTTTAAATTGAATTTAGAATTTTTACAGCATTGCTATTAAATATGTGTCACCTATTTTGAACTGTATATAAAAGTGTTTATAAGAGTGGTGTGCATGTCCCAACATTTATTTAATCCTCTAAATTAACCTTTGAATGTCTTGCAAAGTGCCTTGTTAAGCATGTCACTTTTTTCTCTTAACACAGTGCATAAAAATATTCATAAAATTGCATTGTTTTTGAGCATTAATCCACTTATCAAAAATAGGTATGTGGTTGTGTTCATTTATTTAATTAATTGAGGACTTTAAATTTTCAAAAAGGGTAAAAATGGCCAACCAAATGTAAGATATCTGAGAAGCCACAAAGGAACTGCTTATCCAACCTTAGAGAAACAATCAAACTCTAACGCTGACATGAAACAGACACACTAAACATGGACAGAGGCTGAAGGGTGGAGAAAAAAGACTAGGAGTTGGAGTAAAGAAAATGCTGCAACTAACTGGACAAAGAGAAGTTCCAGATATGCAGCACCAATGAGCTATAATGAGCATGATCTGGCTCAATGCAGGAAATATGTAACCAATACAATCATCACAGTGAACTGGAATACTATTCACCTCTCACTCCCCACGTTGCCCTCCGTACTCAGAGGAACACGTTCTTGTTTTTTTAGTGATCAGCTACAAGCCCCAGGGGAAATCTTTTGACAGAACTTCAAATCCTAGAGAATGATATGCTCTGTCAAGAGTTTGATTATTGGGCTCATTACAGGTTTTATGTGAGAAGAATAAGATTAACTGTTCACAACAAAATGGATGAGAAAATCCAATTTTATTAATAGCAGGTAAGATCTGTTGAAATGAAGTGTGTTGCACTACGTATACCTCATTTCCCATCAGGTCCTGCTGATTTGCTGCCTTTTAGGTACTTTTTCGAGCTGTTTAGTACCTATTGGGTTATGTGACATCATGATTGACGCCTCAGGCTCTCACTAGACTTGGAGAAAGGGCAGCTTGGCATAACACCCAGAGCACTGGGGTTATGTACTACATTGACCTTGGTAATTTGGACTCCTGGAATGATTAGTTTCTTTAAGTTCATGTACACACACACACACACACACACACACACACACACCTGGCAACCTCAGGATTCTTTCTCTTCTGTCCACCAGGAGATCCCATTCTCTTTGTACTCAAGGTAAGACTTGCTAAGATCCAAAGACTGGACTTAAGTAGTTAGAGGGCTGTCAACTATGAGCACCAATGGCCTTATCAAGCAGCTTGTTTGTTTGATTGTTTGGTTGTTTGTAGAGATGGAGTCTCACTATGTTGCCCAGGCTGCCTTGAACTCCTGGGCTCAAGCAATCCGCCTGCCTCAGCCTTCCAAGTAGCTGGGACTCGCACCCGACTTATCCAGCAGATTCTTAACATTTTCCCCTATCACAACACTTGTGAAAGATGTGAAAAACTCAAGCATGGCATACTCTCTTCATACAAACAGATCTTAACAAAAACTACTAATCATTTTCCAAGGAAGAAAAATATTACAATAATTATCAATAATACTAAGGGCCACAAACTTATGGCCAATGGGCTAAAAGCAGCCTATCCCACAGAAGCATTTCCTTTGGTCTGCATAATATTTCTTAAATATTTGACTTTTTTTGCTATCTTGAAAATGGGATGGTTTTACACTAAAAGAACAGTGATCTGGGCTTCTAGTTAGTATACACAAGGTCATGAAAGACAGTTACTCCCACCATAACACTGAGAAAACATCAGATAAACTGTAAAATCATGTTTTGTAAACCCACCAGAGAGCTGAGGATGCAGAGAAATCTAAATAAACTAAATCTTAGAGAAAGAGAACCCTTTCATAATGGAACAGAGACCTATGGCTGCTTTTATTCTTGGGGATATGGGCAGACAGAGACACACACCTGCAACAGACTGGGGTGCTCTGCTGAATTAAAGAGAGCTGAGAATGACAGACTGGAGTTTGATTGAGCCCTCAAAGTAGATGGTGCTCACTAGCCACCAGTTCTCCCCCATGGGACTTCAATTGAGTATGCAGTAACTTATGGACCTGGGCTGGAAACCAGAGCAAGAGTTCTCCCACAGAATGGAAATCTGGGGGCAGGCAGGAAGTCAAAGAGGGAGAGAGAGAGGTCGTATAATCAGTTTAGATCCCAAGGGTGAGACCTGATCCCATCCACAAGACATTTTTGAAAACAATGAAACCACTGAATGAAACCATTGTTTTTGCTGCTAAAAGAAGAAAAGACATCACTTTTCTGGGGGTAAATATTACCTACTTCAGCTTCTACCCTGCTTTTGTATACAATGTCTAGCTTGTGATCCAAAGTTCTAATAAATGCAAAGAATTACAACTGTAATCAAGAGAAAAATAGTCAATAGAAGCATACCTACAGATGACCCAGATAATGAAATTAACAGGCAAGAAATTTAAAAGAGCAGTTACAAATATTTTAAGTTACTGGGAAGTATGAATATAATGAGTAAAAAGATAATATCATCAGAGAAGCAGAAACTTTGAAGAAGAATCAAATGGAAATTTCAGACCTAAAAAGGTAAATATCTGAAATGAAGAAGTAACTTAATAATGAGCTGGACAAAGCAAGGATCAGTAAGCTCAAAACCAGACCAATTAAAAAAATAGCAAAACTGAAGCACAAAGAGAAAAAAAAAATTCTTAAAAACCCAGAACATGCCATCAGAGTACTGTGGGGAAAAAAATCAAATGGTATAATATAAACACAACTGAAGTCCAAAAAGAAGAGAAAGATAATTGAAGCAAGATAAATATTTAAAAGGATAATGACCCAGAATTTTCTAAATTTTATGAAACATATCAACCCACAGATTCAAGAAGCTCAGTGAATCTCAAGTCAGATAAATACATCTAAGCATATTTTAGCTAAACCACTAAAAACCAAAGATGATGAAAAAAAATCTTCAAAGCAGAGGAAAAAGAAACATTAAATCTAGAGGAATAACCATGAGATTTACAGATTTATAGCAAACTTCTCAACAGAATCAATGGAATTCAGAAAATAATAGAGTTATATTGTTGAGATCCTAAAAGGGAAAAAACTGTCACTCTATAATTCTATATAGTGTGAAAACATAATTCAAAAATAAAGCAAAATAAAGACATTTTCAGAAAAACAAAAGAAGAGAATAATCATCACCAGTAGACTAAACTAAAATAAATACTGAAAGAAGCTCCTCAGGCTGATGAACATTATGGAGGCCAAAACTTTCAGGAAGGAATAAAGAGCACAGGAAAGGGGTATTTGCAAATATATATACATAAACCTACTATTTAAAGCAAAAATTAACATTGAAGTGTTAAGCTAATATCATGTCTAGAAGTAAAATATATGAAAAGTAGCACAAATGGTAGGAGAGGAAATAAAAGGAATCATATTTTGTCAGATTCATACATTGTTAAATTGTATTATGGTAATTAATACTAATTACATGATTTATTAAATGTGAAAAGTTAAGATGAATATTATAATTTCTAGAATACACATTTAAAATAATATACAAAAGTACAGCTTCAAAGCCAACAAAGGAATAAAGTATAATAATAAAAAATGCCTGGTTAATTCAAAAGAAGGCCAGAAACGAGGAACAAATATATAAAAAGAGATGGGACACATAGTAAGAGGGCAAACTTAAACCCAACCATATCCTTAATTATACTCACCAGACACTTAAATTTTTTTAAAAAGAGGTTGCCTGTTTGGATAAAGAAACAAGCTCAAATTATGCTGCTTGCAAGAGACATACTTGAAATATAAGGACACAGTTTGAAAGTAAACAGATTGAGAAAAGATGTCCCGTATAAATGCTAATCAGAAGAAAGCTGATGTGGCTATATTCATTTATATAAGAGACAAATAGACTTCGAGATAAGGAGTGTTAGCAGAAACAACAGGGACATGTTATAATGATAAAAGGATCAATTCATCAGGAAGACCTAACACTCATAAATGCGTACGCACATAACAACAGAGCTTCAAAGTACATGAAGCAAAAACTAACATAAGGGAGAACTAAACAAATCCACAATCACCGCTGAGGATTTTAACACAGCAATGAATAGAACAAGTAATCAAAAAACAAGTATACAGAAGATTTGAACACTATCAACTACCTTGAGCTAATTGATATTCATAGAAAACAATATTCAACAACTTCAAAGCATACTTGTTGTTAAATTCACATGGAACAGTCACCAACATAGTCTATATGCTAGGACATAAAGCAAGTCTTCATAAATCTCAAAAGAGTATGTTCTCTGACTACAATGGATTAAAACAGAAATCATCAACAAAACATAACCCAAATAAAACATATATATAATACATAGATAAAAAATACAAAATAATAAAAGACACTTCAATTAAAAAGGAAAAAGAAAGGCAAGGAATTTAAAAGGAACTTTATAAAAGAAGATACTGAATGGCCAATAAATATCAGGAAAGATGCTCAATCTTAGTATTCATCAGTGATATGCAAATTAAAACCACAGTGAGGTACCACTACATACACACTAGAATGGCCAAAAGTGCTCATGAGGATGTGGAGGCACTAGAACTCTCATATATTGCTAGTGAGAGTATAAACTGATACAACCTTTATGAAAAATTGTCAGTTTCTAATCAAGTTTCATATACGTATCCTATAGCCCAGCAATACTAGTCATATATATGTATCCAAGAGGAGTGAGTGCACATATCCACAAAAAAGGATCATATATGATGGTTCGTAACAGCTTTATTTCCAATAGCCCAAAAGTGAAAACAATCCAAATATTCTTCAATAAGAGCATAGATCAACAAACTGTGATATTTGCTATTACTCAGCAATAAAAGGGAATAAACTGCGAATACATGCAACATGGAAAACTCTCAAAAGTATACTGAACAAGGGAAACGAGACACAAAAGAACACAGACTGTAAGATTTTATTAATAGGAATCTGAAGATCAGACAAAGCTTATTTATGGCTATAGAAATCAGTGGTTACATGGCCAGGCACGGAGGCTCATGCCTGTAATCCCAGCACTTTGGAAGGCCAAGATGGCCAGGTCACTTGAGGTCAGGAGTTCAAGACCAGCTTGGCCAACATGGTGAAACACTGTCTCTACCAAAAATACAAAAAAATAGCCAGGAATCATGATGCATGCCTGTAATCCCAGTGACTCCGGAGGCTGAGGCAGGAGAATTGCTTGAACCCAGCAGGCAGAAGCTGCAGTGAGCTGAGATCACACCACTGCACTCCAGCCTGGGTGACAGAGCGAGACTCCATCTCAAAAAAAGAAAAAAAAATCAGTGGTTACCTTTGGGGGAGGGGGCTAGCTGTTGACTGGGAAAGAAGCACAAAGGAACTTTGTGGGTGGTGGAAATGTTCCATCTCTTTATGACGGATGGTGGTTACACATGTAAAATGTATACATGTGTAAAGACGCATTAAGATTTGTATGCTTTATTGTATACAAATTATGCCTCAAAAATAATACCCTATACATATCTGGTTTCTTTGGAAAACATGAGAAAATCAGCCAACACAGGGCTCACACTCTCACATGGTGACAGTTGGCTGGAGGAAGGTACATATCACTTCAACACAGACCCCACCACTCTCTATTGCCCACTCCCAGCCCATCACACTCATTTCTACCCCCTGCCTGGCTCCATACTGCCCAGGTCCAACCACCCTGGCACATTGGTCAGGCTGGGAGTCCTGAATGAGAGTACCACAGCAGCCACCCAGCTCAGACTGCCAGCTAGTGGACTAATCAGACTCTTGTTTTCTGGCTCACATTTGGAAATTGTTCTTCCTTTATTCTAAGCCAACGATAATTCAGTGGGGCAGAAGCCTCAAAAGAGAGAGCTTGAACTTCTGAATCATAAAGACTACTCAAGCAATTAATTGGAAAAACTAAAAGAAACGAGATGGTATTTGCATTCCAAGCTGGTGAAGTAGGTCATATTGATTACATTTTTTTAATCATTTGAGTAAATCATGTGCAAACTCTATTTTAAAAGTGATAGACACCTTTTTGCCTCAGTTCAGAGTACAGTTACAGGGCTTTACCTTTGTCTAGTGGCTGAGCTGGGTGACAATACAGGGAGGGAATCTCACAGAGTAGCTGACAGTAGTATGCCAGGCATCACACCCACAAACAAGGGCCACTCAGCTTCCTGACCTGGAACCTTTGGGGCTGCAGACTTGTGATACTCACACAACTTATCTGCTGGTCTGGCACAGCCTTGACCTATCAGAACTGATACTGGCCAAATTATGGAGCAGAGTCCTCATAACTCTCTCAGTTAATGGACCAGTGGGAAGTCTGGGAAGATCACAAGGGGAGAAACCATGACTAACAGAGTAGTAGGAGGACTCTTAAGGCATTGACCAGCCAGAATGAACATTTTTAATATTGATTATACGGCCTCATCACACCAGTGGGTGCTGGGCCAGAGCTCTGTTGGAATCAGCTCACCCCAACTCTCGAGAGTCAATTGTGCACACCTCTTCCCAATTCTGCATTTAGTGACACCATAATGATGGCTCAAAAATCAGCCATGGTGGGAATATTTGCAACATGGAGATGGACAAGTAAGTGCCACAAAACAACACATCATTCCCACCCCCACACTTCCAAAAGCCTGTTTACCTGTACACAGCTAGTAAAGACTCAATATCAGCTGCAACCCCACTCACACTCAGGACAGTCTCTGCACTCAGGAACCCTGGTGACAGGCAATCCTCTAAGGGCTTTAAATATAAACACTCATTTAACCTTTACAGCAACCCCACAAGGTACATCCTATTAGTATTCTCATTTTACTGATGAGGAATTGAGGTACAGAAAGATCAACTGACTTGCCCAAAGTCACACAGCTACTAAGTGGAAGAGCTGAATCCAAACCTGACAGCCTGGAGCCCGAATCCACGTGCTTCACCCTACACAGCACTGCCTTTCTTTCTTCTTCCCTTTTCAAAAGCTTCAGTGGGTCATGAATACAGAACCCAAATCACCAGCTACAGAAAACCTGATTTCCCTTTTCTCAGAACCAGGGAAGGCCCATTGCTCAGGCCTCACTTCTTCAAGAGAATGGGAGACGTGTGCATCTAATCTTGAGAAAAATTCCCCTCCCAACACCCCCACCCCAGAAATGTGCCTAATGATGTCTTTTAAAACGCAAGGTGGTTTTCATTAACAAAACAGGTGGACCGTCCACACGCAGTATTATTGGTAACGGATGGTTTTCTGCCTCCTGGCTCTAGCTGCCTGGCCCTGCCCTGCCGTCTGCTCCCGGATACTGGGGGTATAAACCCTCCTGGCCTTCTAGGCCTGTTGGAAAATGCTGGCCTGGCTCCAGGCATCAAAAGCACATCCGGCCCTTGCCCAAGCCCTGCACGGGGGCCTGAGCAGGCCTCTGGGAGATCCTGGCTAGAGGCATCAAGACCAGATGGCCAGGGAGATTACTACAATTTGATTTCCACATAATCCATGAACTTGGATAAGCAAATGTCTCTTCATATGCATTATCTTGTAATCCCAGGGAGGGCTGTGCAAAGCAAAGAGCCTGGTTCTTCCGCCTCCACAGGCCCAGCATGCTGGGTAATCCCTGCTCTACTGGACAGGGCTTCTGAAAGCCAAGCAGCTCTGCCAGGAGGCTAAGGAGATGCTGCCTCCAGGGCAGCGCTGGCTCCTCGGAAGCCTGGTATTTGAGCACAGGGAGGAGACCCTGGGCTCCCAGTGGCTCCCAGAAAGCATCAGGGATTTGAAATGCTGCAGCCAGGCAAACCCCACATGGCATGTGGGCAAAAGCCCAGGCTGGGATTCAGGACTCCTGGAATCTCCTGCCTTTGCCTCCACTCTTTGTGAGGTCTAAGACAGGTGACTTCTTGTCTCTAAGCCTGGTTATCCCCAAATGTAAAGCAAGAAGGTGGAGGCAGGTTATTTAAAGAGTCCACCTTGCTTTGCATTGCATGTAGCCATGCGTGAGCACAGGCCTGGATTGCCTCCCTGTCACATGTCAGGAGCTGCTAACCCAAGACCATCCTGAGGCAGGCGCCCCACCCTACTGGCTGTCTCCAGAACCCCAAAGTGCCCTTCATGAACCTGGTCCCTGGATCACGAGGACTAGATTTAAGTCCCAGCTCTGCCACTCACGAGACTGAGGCGGGGCCACGCACATCACTTCCACAGCTCCACGCTGCCCTTACTCCTAGTGAGGTTTATACAACCCTGCTTTCCTCCGGCATCTTGTGAGGGTCACAAAAATTAGGATGCCAGACTACAGAGAGAATCTAGCCTCTCAGTCTACTCAAAGCAAAAGTACGTTAAACTGAATCAAATACATGGGAAAACAATAGGATGTTGCTGTTATTACCTTTTTTCCTGGCTCTGTCTACCCTTTCACATTTCACCTGTCTTGAATTCCCACACCCTCTTCATGACTCTGCTTAATCCCATCAACTCACCCTAATGTGTTAATGACTTGGTTGGTGACTTCTGCCTCCCAATACAGCTGCATGTTTGCAGTGGCCTTCAATGCCTTCACTCAATTTGTAATAGGCAGATGGTCACTCCGTGATGCTCACATGCCAGGAGGTGTGAGGGAAGAGGGAACGTGGGCTTCCGGACCGGCAGCACAGCTTTCGACTTGGAGCGTCTGGGACGTGTATACGTTTGTGTGTGGCGCCTCCCTGTGGACACCACAGGTATTGCCTGGGACCGACCCTGATTGCCAACATCTATCTCAGCCTCTGGCAGTCCCCACCAGGATTGTGGAGGCAACTTTCTTATGTTGTCAGTGAAAAACCCGAAGCCCACATGGGGGTGGATAACTTGTTCAAGATCAAACAGTTCCTTAGGCATTCTGCAAAAAGGAAGAAGTGATCTGTAATAGCACCTCATAATTCTATAAGCATGAATGCTGAGGCAGAGAGCAGCTTGCCCAAGTCAGTTTCAAAGCTAGAAATTTAGATTTGAGGACCAATCCTCATACAATACATGCACCTAAATCTTTGGGGAGAGAGACGACCTCATTCTTTCCTGTTTATCTCAGGTAGTGATAGTCCCCCTGCTTCTGAAGCCACATCTGGTCTACTATTGCAAAATCTGCTTATGCCTGATGCCCCTTGAAGTTTCCACAAGGGCCTGACTCGACTGAGGGTTCACCCTCCACTCTCCAAATGGGCTCTGCCCAAGACGACCAGTGTCGTCACTGTTGTCATTTGTAATCCATCTGGAGAGGGATGAAGACGTCCCGGAGCCACTCAGTTCATGGGCTCAGGGATGCAACAAGCTCTATCCAGAAAAATTCTAGAACAGTGGGGACTGGTGGTAGGGGGGACAGGGGTTGTCACTGTACTCATTCATTCAACAAATACTGAAAACTCTGTACCAGGATTTGGTCCAACAGCAATCTGATCACAGTCGGAGGAAAGGTTGTAGGTCAGAGTTGAGACAATTATTAAGGTGAGCTGTGGGCGTTGGCTGAGCATCAGTCAGGGTCCAATCAGGAAAAACTCAGCCATGCCAGGTAGTTCAGAAGAATGAGTTTAATATAAGGAACTAGTTACAAACGTGTTGGAAAGACTGAAAAATGAAAACAGAGGATGGTGGAACACCCCAGAGATTAGCAAGTTAGAAGTCACTGCCACTCCCAGGGCTGGGGGGACAGAGGAAGGACGTGGTGCTCCCAGGAGCCTCGACTACCTGCAGAAATTTGAATCATGAAGGCAGCTGCCAGCAGAGCTGGGCCCAGAGTAGATGCTGGATTGCCACACACAAAAAGAATGAGGAGAAGTACCTGGCTGCTCCTCCTTTCAGTCTCTTGTTGGTACCTCTTATGGCCAAATCCAGCTGGAATCCAGTTGGCAAAAAAGTTTAAGAAATGTAATTTGCAGGCCGGGCGCGGTAGCTCACGCCTGTAATCCCAGCACTTTGGGAGGCCAACGCGGGCAGATCACGAGGTCAGGAGATTGAGACCATCCTGGCGAACACGGTGAAACCCCGTCTCTACTAAAAATACAAAAAAATTAGCCAGGCGTGGCAGTGGGCGCCTGTAATCCCAGCTACTCGGGAGGCTGAGGCAGGAGAATGGCATGAACCTGGGAGGCAGAGATTGCAGTGAGCCGAGATCCCACCACTGCACTCCAGCCTGGGCGACAGAGTGAGACTCTGTCTCAAAAAAAAAAAAAAAAGAAAGAAATGTAATTTGCAGTGGTTAACACCCTCCCCAACATGCACACACATACATATGCATTACAAAACACAGCAGGGAAAGACTAGGGAATGGGTCTGAGAGCAACAGGCAAATGCCCCAGTGTGTGAGGTGCATGTTCAAGCCTACACGTGACGTGAACGTTCAAGAATACGCGTGTGTATTATATCAGCTTCAAAGGTGTGTCGGCAGAGTGTGCATGTGTGTGTTTTAGTGTGACCGTTCAAGGGTATGCATGTATCAGACGGAGAACAAGCTTTATACCTGTGTGTGATAGGAACAAACACCCAAGTGTTTGTGTGTGATGCGAACATTCAAGACTATGTGTATGTGTGATGAGAATATTTAAAGCTCTTGGGGGACATGTGTGTGTGTGCTGTGAATGTTCAGGAGGTGTATATGTGATGTGAATGTTCACAGCTGTGTGATGTGATGTTCATCCAAGGTGTGTGTGTGTGTGACAGAGAGTGTGTGACAGAGTGTGTGACAGAGAGAGAGAGAGTGTGTGTGTGTATGTGTGTGTGTGAGAGAGAAACTGGTGCGAAGACATAGGGATGGAAGAACAGAGTGTACAGAAATGTTCCCTATATCCATAGAAGGAAATGTGGCCATTTGTCTTCGCTGGGGACAGAAATGCATACTAAACTTTTCAGGCTCACACGTGCATAAAGAATGGCTAAGAGAATGGTGTTCAAAGACAGCTGTGCGTGAGGTGGGACGATAAGACACATAAAGTTTGCCCTAATAAACAGACTTTTTCATCCAAATGAGTTTCAAAGTAGCCACCTTAAAAAGTTAAATTTTTACTGTATGGATGCAGCCATGGCCCAGTAAAATTCTGGGGTCTGCTTTCACAGTCCATCTTGCGCCCAACAAATAGTCTACAATCATTACTCATCATCACATATTCTTATTGGCTGAGGCTAGAATGACCCAACTTAATCACTTAATCATTCATCATTCCCATTGTTGGCTTAAGAACTTCTCCAAAACCCAAATCTCTCTCTTTAAAAAAAAAAAAAAAAAAAAAAGGGAATTTGTCCCCCTTGAGGCTAAGCTTCCCTTGCATGTACGCATTAAAATACAAGCTTCATTGCTTGATAATTAGCTGTTGTGGATGGCAGTGTGCAGGGAGCTACAGAAACTACTGGGAACCAAAGGAATACTGTGGAGTCTACAGAATTCCATCATACACACATTTGACTTTTATAAATTCGAACTATTACAGCAAGAATTTTAAAGGTGAGACAAATAATACTGTAAACAGTGCAGGCATTTTCATCCACTATTTTCTTCCATGGGCTCCTGCTCTGGAGTTAGCCTCGGATGGATGAGGTGACTCCATCTAGGACCTCGAATGTCTGTCTTTGTGCAAACATCTCATATTTGGTGTAATTCAGAATCCTCTTCATATTCTCCCAGCCCGCTCCATTCAAGCCTCTAAGGGATGGGGCACAGACCTGCAGTCAACAGCCCTTCAAGGACAGGGATAGGAATCTTAGTATTTTATACATCATGGCCCCGAAACACAAGCCAACTGGTTAATCTTGTGCTCCTCCAAATAAATCATGATTGGTTCCACCTCTAGAAGAAACACTGGCCATGTTAGATTCCCGGAGAGACCTGGCCAGTCACCAATGTGTTACCTTTCTAAAGGATATTTCCATGGTAACTTTAGTCATAGATTATTTGTGACCTATACAGTGACTTTAGAATCCAGCCCTCAGGTTAGATGTGATTCTGCACAAGGCATCATGGAACTCATTCTCTTGCCTTCAGACAAAACTACTCTTAAGCTGTCTTGGACAGTTAAGAACCTAAAACACTGTAAAATAATTCCCATATGCACTGCCCTCCAGCCCCACAGAGCTTCTTCCAGGCCTCTCTGGGCTTTGTGCACGTGATTCCTACTCTCTTCTATTCCCTGGCTCTCTCCCCTCTATTCTGAGGCCTGCTCTGAGGCCCTCACAGGGTTGGTGCACAGCACAGCTCCCTTTGGCTTGTTGACAGGCAGGGTTCCCCCACCACCCTCAGCACTAAACTGAGGATGTTGGCCAAGAGTATTTTGGTCTCCATTTTATTCCCAGTGCTTGGCTGTAAAGCAACCTCCTCCACAAATATTTGTTGAAGGGTTAACTGGGATGTTTCAAGAATTCTCTTTATTTGAGGTTTTTCCTTGTCATCAAGATTTACCGTCTTGTAGAAAATGTGGTGAGGTGATTGACAAACTGAAAAAGACTAATCTATTGGACTACTCAGAACTGACCTTATTTTTAATGGCATTTGTTCTTGTTTTATTTTTAATACTCATGGAGATTCTTACCCACTGTTACCAATTAGCTTTCCCAAATTGTGCTTTAACTGTTGATTTTTGTACTAAGAAGTAGCATCTTCAAATAAAAACTCACTTTAATATTTAATAATCCTAAATGTCAAGGAACTCTTCCCATGTGTAACTTCTCAAAATTCCTACTGTTGCATTTTAACGCTTGCTTACTTCCTCTAATTCAGACCAAGATGACTAATGGACATCCTCTGTGTAAGTAATATACACACTCAAAAACCATGACTCTCACCATTCCCTTCTCCAAGTTCAAATAATTCCAATCCCTTCAGCCTCACTGTTCTCCATGTCAATCCTCTTCATATTCTCACAAATCACCCCAGTTCAGGCTTTCCAAGGGGTCCATGAGCCTGCAGTAGATTGCTCCTCCATGACCAGTTCAGGAATTCCATGATACAAAGGCAGGGGTCCAGGCAGCATGGGACAATGGATGGCTTTAGAATCACATAGCTCTGGGTTCAAATCCTGGCTCTACCAAGCATTGACTGAGACCTTCACAGGGTCTCCTCCCCTCTCCAAGCTTGTCTATGGATCTAAAAATGCCACACAAGACCAACGTAATTCTTAGGTGAGTCAGATTATGTTGTGGACATGCAGGCCTAGCACAAGGCTACATGAAGTGGTCCTAACACATGGCAGTCTGGGTGCCCTCCCCTCCCAAGGGCATGGCGTCCATCTGTGACACTCCCTGGAGCTGATGCATGGGGGTGGATGGCCATGAGTGCCCCACATCTGTCCTGGTTGGCTGCCAGCAAGCTTCTGGCTGCTGCTTAACCCCAGGAGACTGGGTGCTGGGGACTCTGCTCAGCCTGAGATACGAAGCTTCTCCAAGGGCAGCAGCCTAAGGCCAGGCAGGTTTCCAGAAGGTTTCCAGGTTTCGTGAAGGTTTCCAGAGACAGCCTACTTCTGGAAGAGCAGATGCCAGGCAAACCCTGCCACCTTGTGGTGCTCATGCGTATGAGCCCGCTCCAGCTGTCATAAAGCCCCGCCTTCCACTCTGGGCTGCCATCTGGTTTCTCGGTCTGGGGATATCCTCTCTCTCCTTTTCTCAGCCTGATCTACCCCAAGGCTTTCTGACCTGGAGGTGTGTCCCAATCCCCTTAGGCCCAGGGTGTTCTCAACTTTGTCTATTAGCCCTGTCATTCCCAAAAGCCCTAGCCTCAGTGCCCTCATCTGACTACATTAGGACAGTTTTCCCCTACTGGGCCAAAGGAGAACCTGGGAGTCTCTCTCCCCCACCCACCTTAGCCACTCAGCAGCTACTTGGGGCCTGGTATCTGACACTTGGGCAATCAATGCTCTGTTTGTACTGCCAAAGCCTCTGAATAAAACCTGGGGCCGGCTTCTCAGGCCCACTTCAGAGTGGCTTAGTAGGGTAGCTGGGATGTATGCGTGCACATGTGCACCTATGTCTTGCTCTAGGCTAGTAAGACCCTCCCTGGCAGTGCCTATCTCCTGACTTGCAGGGGACCTTCCAGCCCCAGCCCCTCAGCTACAGCAGTGATTCAGCTATCTGGACCTATTCCTGAGCCTTTAACAGCACCTATTCTGACCACAGAGAGAACACTTTCCTCCTTCGCTTCCTGTTTTAAGCACCAAAATGCCAAGACAGGTGAAAGGCGACTGATAGCCTAAAGTAACTGGCCATAATCCAGGCTCGATGTGCTTCTAGAAAATAAAGCGGAGAAGGGTAGGGGCTGAGGCTACCCTGAGATTTCAGGCAAACAGGCTTTATCTTGCTATGTGTGTTTGAAGCTTAGCGATCTGTGAGCTTTCAATAATTGGGTTGCTGACCTTTCAGCGGCACTCCTTTTCCCCTGTTGGGGTAATAGAACGGGTCAGCAAATCCTTTCTGTTTTTAGTGCCCATAAGCCTGTGCCTAACAGTGGCTCTGGATTTCCTGGCCCAGGGTGGGACAGAGCTAACATGCCCAACCAGCTGGATGAGGCTGGCTATGGGACTTACCTGCCATACATCCATTGTGTGTGGCATTAATGGATGGAAACCATTAATGTCCAAGTTACTCACATCCCTTTCCAAATAGGTCAGAAATGCTTGGTTGCCACAATGTATAACTTAGAAAAGGTGAGAATGGGAGTTGTAAAAGCTAAAGATGTTACAGCTAAATGAAGGAGCAGAATTCAGGAGCCTAAGTATGTTGGAAGGAGGGAAACATTTGCTGAGTGTTTATAACAAGCCACACATGGTGCTAAGTACTCTCGCATAACTTACCACATTACCTGAGAAGAAGTATCATCTTCATTTTATAGATGAGAAAGGTAAAGTTAAGAAAAGTTAAGAACTACCTTTGTATACAGGTCTAGGTTCGAATTCTGGCCCCACTTCTTACTAGGAAGTAACTCTAAGTAAGCTAACTAACTTGAGTTTATTTCTCATGTATAAAATAGGGATAAAGATGCCTGCCCTGCTGGTTTAAATAACAACGTAGCTTGTAAGTAAGGGCACTCACAAGGCTCTTGGCACTCAGGAGTCACTACGCTGTCATCAACAGTAACAGTAACTTAACTGAGGTCATAAAAACTCAAATCCAGGTTTTCTGACCCCAAGTCCAGTGCTCATGGGGAAAGGAGCTAATCTGCACACAGTTTCTGAAGCCCAGTAGGTACGGATGAACATTCCTAACCCCAAAATCCAAAAGGCTCCAAACTCCAAAACTTTTTGAGGGCCTCAATGACACCACAGGTGGAAAACTCCACACATCAAGTACTTAACACAAATTTTGTTTCATGCACAAAATTATTTAAAATATTGTATAAAATTACCTTCGGGTAATCTGTGTATAAGATGTATATAAAACATAAATGAATTTCATGTTTAGATTTGGGTCCCATTCCCAAGATATCTCATTATGTATAATGCAAATATCCCAAAATCCAAAAAAACCTGAAATCTGAAAACACTTCTGCTCCCAAGCATTTCAGATAAGGGATATTTGACCTGTATAGGAGCCAGATTAACAACTAATTATCCTATAAAGTGTTAAGTGTAGAAGCACATACAAGGCATAGAAATGGCCCAGCAGGAAGTAACCCTTGAAAATAAGTTACCAGGAAAACAAGTTTGTAAGCAGGGCAGTATTTTCTCTGTAGAACCAGCAAAGGTGAAAACAAGGAGACCAGAAATCATTTGGGAAAACAATGACCAAGAGGCGAAGGCTAAACCTTAACAACTGAAGGATCCTTTCAGTGAACTGGGTGGTCTGTTGTACATGTTACACACACACACACACACACACACACACACACACACACAGAGGCATTTCTCTTCTTAGGTTGTACAAACACACTTCAAACTGGAACTCCTAATCCCCACAGCACCACACACATTACGCTGTCCTCCCACACTGAGAACATAGCATCTTATTTTGTTCCCTGGCAATCTTCCCCCAAAGGATACACTAGAAACAATTTTTTGGTCATGTTTGCCAGCCGGTAGAAGATTCAAGCTGGCACTCAGCAAATATAGTTATTTATACTATAATGCTAAAAATCTTGCATTCTGCAATATCACACTCCAAAAATAACAGAAAAGGGGGTTGGGGCAGACCACTCAAAACCTATGGAATTCTGTAACCAGAGCAATAACAAAAGAGAATGAAGCCTAATGATGATGCTAATGCAGTACCCCCACCACCTGTACACCAGTCCCCAGCAGCCTTAAATCCTGGGGCTTATACTGCTTCCTGAGATGTAGGTTCTTTGATATGTAATCTTAGCAGAGATGCATTCCATCAAAATTAAAACTGTGATCCAGGACAGGGCCTTCTTCATCAATTTTTTAAAACAAGGTGGGTGAGGTGTCTTCACAGCTTCTTCCATTCCACTCACAGTTTCCCCTGAGAGCTGAACATCATGGAAAGGCTAGCAGTGCTTCTAGAAGTTACTAAACCAGCCCCTACTTGCAATAAAGGAAGGTGCTTCTAGAAAATTTTCAGCTTTTTTCTTAAGCTATTCAATCTTGTCCCTGATCATTTAAAAACATTAATGTTCTGCAGAAAAATCTAACTTAACTTTGGGTCATTCTGACACCATTTCTCTATTTCCCAATTGCACATATGCTATTTCTCACCAAAAAAACAATGTTGTTACAGACATGCACGGTCACGAAAATAGTCACTTCACTCTGGTGATTCCTTCCCTTCTAGGTCAGAGGTGCCCGTGGCCCTAAGAATATGCAATACAGTTCACACACAAGTCACTCCAAAACCCAGAAAGTGCATCCTGGCCCTGTGGCTGTGCCCAGGCTTCACTACAAAGGCGCCACTACAGCTCACCATCAGCAAGCCTATGCCAGGAGACATCTCCCCTCAGTCATGCAGGGGAGAGCACACATGCAGGAGGAAAAAGGTTAGCAGAGGAGTATCAGGCCTAGGCCCCTCAATTTTGATTAAGAAAGCAATTTCCCTGACCCTGGGCAAGAACACAAGGCTGCAGCTGATGCAGAAACAGAAATCCCATCTCATGTGCTCACAGCCTGTTTAACCCAGGCCGTCTGAGACGAAACCAGGAAGCATCTGATGGGAATCCAGGACTGCAGACTAAAACCACTATTCTGGGCAGACAAAGGTATGCCTGAGTTCCCCATGCTCTGCCACTCACTTAACAAATGTTTACTGAGTGCCTCGTATGTGCCAGGCACTGGGGACCAGTGAGGACCCAAACAACACACTGAAGAGCCAAGAGCCCCAGAGGTGAGGGGCATTGGGGTCAGCATTCTCCTCTAGCACCAACAGGCACATGCAGTATGACTCTGGGCTAAGTCACAACCTGGCCGTGATTCCTCCATCTGTAGAATGGAGATAAACTAACTGCACATTTCACATGACTGTTTCAAAAAAGGTTAAGACATAACTCAATTCTTTTTAAAATAAAATGCTTTTAGGAAGGGGGGGAAAGAAGGAAGGATTATTTCCCAGGCTAGATTAAAACACCTTCATATCAAGTGCAGAGGGAAGGAAAAACAAACTGGAAATGGCTAAGAAACTATATAGAACTAGTTTTTTCCCAAGGGCCTAGAGAAGCTTTCACAGAATTCAAGGCTTTCGGGAAGTCAATTCATTTCCTTCTGTCCTTTCTTCCTGGGCCCAGTAACTCAGTGACGCACTGTAATATAATCCAGTACTCAGTGATCACCTTGGGAAAAAAATGGAAAGACACCCTAAGAGATGGCTCTCTTCACTGGGCCATCAAAGGGCAAATCAGCTGAGACCAACACAGTAATAGACTCGTTTATTTCTCAGAATTTAGTTTGCTGCTTGATATTACCTGCAAATGTGAGGCAATCACACAATGTCCTTGAGGCTCTAATCCCAGACTTGTCTGAGCACCGTCCACAGGCAGCTCGGCCCATCAGAGGTCTGAAACAAACCTCCTAACTTGGGCCAGGTATTTTGGTTTCAAATAGTCACCCAGCTCATCCTTAGTGACCCACACATGATGGCCCTTATTCCCAGCCTGGGAAAAGTCTCCAGTTAATAGCAGTGCTTTGAAGAAGAACACCTTGGCTCCGAGGTTACTCTCTGTCCGCATTGCCTGGGGGAACTTGAATGTGTAGTGCCCACAGGGTGCATTTCCTAGGAACTTGGCTTCCATGTTGTTTTCTGAAGAGGGAGGAAAGAAAAATCACAATTGGAAGGTAAGGATACAGCCATCTGTTTACTCTGGCTCCCAAAATTATAGGGGGTCCCTGCAAGATCTGGCCCTGAGGTAAAATCAATCCCTAGGAATAGGACTAGAGCCATTCCTGAAAAGAGGCTCCTCCCCTCTCAATCCAAATGCCTCCTGGCCCATGGAGTCCAGATTCACCAGGCTCACTCCCATGTGCCAAGCTACTGTTTTTAGACTGAAAGTCAGCAACACAGTTACAATCACACCTGGGAGTCAGAGCACCTAGTTCCTACATTCAGCCCAGTCGCTATCTGCTGGCGAATCAGCCCAGTCGCTATGCTGGCGAATCAGCCCAGTCGCTATCTGCTGGCGAATCAGCCCAGTCGCTATCTGTTGGCGAATCAGCCCAGTCGCTAACTGTTGGTGAATCAGCCCAGTCGCTATCTGCTGGTGAAGGACGAGGACATTTGGTCTGTAAAACAAAGTTCATCCACCTTTAAAATGGGTGTCACCTGGAAAGCATTAAAAAGGACCCCAGTTTTAACTCCTACCTAGTGAAAAAAGGCATAAACCAAGTTAAAGACAAAAACAGATGAGTAGACAGTATCTGTAATCTATAACTAAGGGTTAACAACCCCAATTCAGCATTTCAAATGATGGGGAAATGATGGACTAATTACTAAACGGCATCTGAAGAACTGATTAGCCAGATGGGAAAAACCAAGCTGGATTCCATACTCAGTCCTCACAATAAAATTGATACCATATAGATCAAAGATTTAACAATAGACATTTTAACTTTTCATAAAAAATTTATTCATTCTGGATGGTTGTTTCATGGACATTTAATATTTTCCAATCTTCTCTGTATTTTTTTTTTCCCAAGACAGAGTCTCGCTTTGTCACCCAGGCTGGAGTGCAGTCGTGCAATCTTGGTTCACTACCACCTCAGGCTCCTGGGTTCAAAGGATTCTCATGCCTCAGCCTCCTGAGTAGCTGGGATTACAGGCATGTGCCACCACACTCAGCTAATTTTTTTTCTGTATTTTTAGTACAGACGGGGTTTTGCCATGTTGGTCAGGCTGGTCTTGAACTTGTGGCCTCAAGTGATCCGCCTACCTCGGCCTCCCAAAGTGCAGGGCATATTTTCTAATTACAATAAAAACACATGAGCATTAGAAGAAAATGCAGGATGCTTTCTTAAACCTTAAGATATTATTTGAGAGGGCAAGGCCTTTCTAAGCAAGAAACAAAATTTTTAAGCCCAAAAAACAAAAGATTTATATTTGTCTACATAAAAATTAAATCTTTCTGCAAGGAAAAATGAAGCACAAAAAAAGTCAAAGACAAAATGACAAACTAGGAAAAATATTTTCAACACGTTCAACAAAGGAATATCTTAAGGTATAAGAAGCACTTAAAAATCAATGCAGATACTCAGGAAGCTGAGGCAGGAGTACTGCTTGAGAATAGGAGTTTAAGGCCAGCCTGGGCAACATAGCAAGATTCCATCTCTAAAGGAAAAAAAATCAATGAGGAAAAAAAACAACAAATTAAAAAGAAAAATGAACCAAGCACATGAACAGTTAAGCTCACATGAAAATAAATATCACTGGCCCATAAATACATTAAAAGGTGTTCAAACTTATTAATAATTTAAAGAAATAAAGTTAAACAACAACATATATCATTATTGAAGTTCAAAAACTTAACTGTACTCTGCTTATGAAGGATAAGGAAAAAACCTGTACTTTCACACATATTTTGGAGGGGTTATAAATTAGTATAAGTGCTATTAATTGGCAAGAGGTGTCAACTTAATTGCACATGCCCTTTGACCTAGCAACTCCAGTTCTAGACTTTTATCCTACCAGATATACTAATTTGCCCATGTGAGCAAAGATGAGCATACAAGGATATTCACTGCAGCTTTGTTTGTAAAAACAGACTGGCTAAACAAACTGCAGTACATACATATTATAAAATAGTATGCTGGTGTTAAAAAAAGCTTAAGATAGGTCTTAATAGGCTGACCTGAAAAGATGTTTAAAAGCGTATATGAGAAAAAAGGAAGGCACACAACAGTGTATAAACATGTTCCCGTTATATGCAAAAAAAGAAAACAAAACATTTATGCATCTGTATATGCATAGAGAATTTCTGAAGAGATACAGAAAAACACTATTAATAGAGGTTGCTTCTGAAAAAGGAAAATTACATCTTACACTACATTTACGAGACACCGATAATTTTTTTACCACATACGTGAATGGCTTTTCTCATACTAAAAAAAAAAAACACTACCTAGCATTAGATGAAAAATTTATAGATAGTGTGAGCTCACATAAAGTAAAAAACGTTAGCAGTGGGTATCTGTGAGTGGTGGAATTGTATTGGCATATTTCTTTACACTTTCCTGAATTTTCTAAACTTAATCCCATAAATGCATGTTACTTTTCTATAATCTGGAAAAGATGGATTAAAAATATAAACAAATTAAAAAGAAAAAACAGCTTATTACAAAGATGAGCGAACGATCTAAATAGGCAGTTCACAAAAGAAGAAGTACAAACAGCCAATAAACACATGAAGATACTGAATCTCACTAGCAAACAGGAAAATGCTAATCTGAAAGAGATCATCTGACTCACTAGACGAGCAAAATTTTAAAAGCAACTATTTCATGTGTCAGTGAGGTTTAGACAAAGAGGCACTCTCAGACACCACTCCTGGAAAACGTCAATTGTTATATACATTCTGGAGGGCAACTGGGCTGCACTTACCAAAAACTGAAGTGTGCACATCTTTGACCCATTAATTCTACCGCTAGAAATTCCATCTTGCAGAAATACTGGCAGTGTGGAGCCAGAGGGGAGGAAAGGAGCGCACTTTCACTTTTTAAATATACAGTATATACTCTTACATTGCTTGAGTTTTTCTTTGCCATTTTATATTATTTGTCAGTTTAGTAAATTTGTAATAAGTCAATACACTATTTTATATGCATCTATTAAACATAAATATGTGTTTTAATATATTTGATATATTTCCTTTTACATTTACTTATTACAATGGCAATGTTTAAAGGAAAGCATAGTGCTTGGGTAGAACCCCTTTCCTCACTGCAAACAGAAAGGGGAGCTGAGCAAGGATCAGTTGTGAATGTTTGACGTTAAGAGACGTTGAGCATCTGGACACAATGATCCTCGCAAGAAACTCAGCTGCTGACTCCTATGTGATGGCTGAGGAGACTGAGAAAGCAGCAACCTCCTCTCCTACCATATTCCATTCTGTCTTGATGTCTCTCCTGCAGGCCACACAGGCCCCTTGGGAGAGTCAAGGGAACACACACTGGCTACCGACATTTCGTTAGCAGGTACTTGTGCTGATGGGAGGGCAGGTAAAGTGGCTGTGCACCACCAAATCCATTTAGTCAACATTCAACAAATGCCTATGTGCCAGGTACTTTGCTGAAAGCTAGGATCAGAGAGAGGAACAGATACTGCCCACATGTTTAAGGAAGTCAAAATTCTGACTAGGGAGAAAAATGTGTTAGTAAACAATTATAGTGCAATGGCATAAGTGAAAGAATGTATTCTCCACTAGAACACAAGCTCCTAGGGAGTAGGGTAGTGTCCTGTTCATCACTGAGACCCTATATGTCTGTTGCATAAATGGAATAAGGACACACACCAGTGCTACGGGAGCCTAGAGAGAGGAGTAGCTCTGTCTTCCTGAAGGCTCAGGAAAGGTTTCACCACATACGGTATAATGTATAAACTGTCTTAAAAACTGAGCAGTCAGGCCAGGAAGGAGTAAAGTATTTCATCAGGGACCAGCAGGCCCCAAAGCAGAGACACATGAAAGACCATACTATTCAAGGAATGCAAAAGGTTTGTTAAGTTAGAACTTGAATTTTACATTAATGAACAGCAAGACGGCAGACTGATGAGACTGGGATCAGGGCAAATAAGATTTGCAGGCCATGCTTGACAGTTAGAATTTTTATTGGAAACCTTTTAAGAATTCCATGCAGAGAAGTGACAAGGGATGTGTGTTTCAGAAAGCTCATTTTGGCAGCACTGAAGGGCACTCCACAAAACCAAGGTTAAACTTACTGGGCATCTAATTCAATAGCTCAGTATAGTACTTCTCAACCACTGTAATTTGCTCCCTGGGAAATATCTGGCCATGTCTAGAGATATTTTTGGTTACTGCACTGGGGGTGGGGTCAGGGGATGAGGTAGTGCTACTGGCATCTAGTAGGTACAGGCCAGAGATACTGCTAAACATCCTATAACACAAAGAATAGCTCCCCACACTTATCCGACCCCAAACACCAATAATGCCAGAGATGGGAAACCCTAGTCTAGTGAGAAGTGAAGAGGGTCACAGCTAAAGCTGTTAGAACAAAGAGGGGACTATTTAGAACAGATCACGAGGGACTCAAGGACTTATGGATGTGGGAATGAGGTCAAGGACAATTCTGAGGTTTCAAGTTGAGTGAACAGATAAGCAGTGATGGCAATAAGCAGTGCTGCAAAGATAAGAAGACAAGCAGGCTGAGAAAATGGTAGAAATATCAATTTTGAATGTACTAAATTTTAAAATCTCAGTGGAACAAAGGATTCTCACCTGGTCTAAAAATAAAAATAAAAAAAAAATAAAAAAAATCCTTACCTGGGTTTTTCTGGCTGAAATTTTTATAAACTTCAAAATTTCCATTAACCTTCCCACCCCCACCCTTAATCCAATTCCCCAGTCAGCCTAAAAATCCTCTGGCTGAGTCTGAAGTGAATTTTGTGGAATTTAGAGGAAGGCAGAAAACCCACCTGAGAGTGTGGCCAGGGTTCGTTCAGCTGTTCCTCGAAGGGTCTCCCCAGGCTGCCACTCTGCCTGGGGCAGTATCCAAACATCCTGGTCTCCAAACTTCTCTCTGACTAACAGGACAAGGTTCCTGTCTAGCTTCCTGTTCAGGGATGTTCGGTCATTCTTTTCATCAGCTTCTACAGCAAAGGGGGTCAGAGGAGGTAAGAAGACTGTGATCTGCCAGAACCAAGAAACCTGGAGTTTTACAATCTTCCTTTAAGATCCACAATCCTTGCCCTCAAAGAGCTTAGAACCAAATTACACCTCGACCCATCTCTCTAACTCTGACCTCTTCCAGGGAAGAGTCTCACAATCTTGAGGAAACTAAAAGGTAAGAAATCAAGAGGTAAGCTTCTTTGAACAGCAAACCATATTTTGAGTCTTCAAAAAAGAAACAATGATCATACTAATTCAAACACAACTACTTCATTGGTTTTGATACTATTACTGACTTAACTAGCCCCTACTTTCTCTGTTCTTCAGTCTTCATCTGTGAAACAAGGAAAACAGAACTCAATCTCCCGCTTTAAGAGGGATTTCACATAAAACACAGGAATTAGTGGAAAAAGGCTTCATTTGCCCCACTCTCAGTCTCAAACTTGGAGTTAAACACAGATAACATTCACAAAGTTTAACTGAGAGAAAAGGCTATTCCAATACCCTTACCTCTCACCCGAAAATAAGACAGACTTTTTAAGTCGTATTATGGTAGATGTGAGCAACAAAGAAAAGAATATGAAATTATTTGTTACTTAAAACACAAAGCAGGGGCCAAGCAACTGTCTTTTATTTGGGAATCCAAATACCCCTTTTCCCTTCCTTCTGGCTGGCCTAAAAGGATCACAACCTGTTATGCGAGCTCCAAGTTTGAACTGTAGAAATTTCTGCTCCCACATATCTTCCAAATCTTGCGCCAGCAATATATCCTGTTCATCTTCTTCATCATGAAGGTCAGCTTTCTTCTTTGCCAGTCGCTGGTTTTCATCCAGAGCACGAAGCTCGTGGTCTGAATACAGGCTTCTCTCTATCTCAATCTGGGAAAATTCAAAGGGCAAAAAACTACCTTAATCTGGCAAAATTAAAAGGAAAAAAAAAACAGGAAGAATAAAACAGAGACATGGCACACTTGGCAAGCTCAGAAGTTTATCACCCAACATAACCAGATACACAGTCAAAACACCATGCAGAAAGGAAATGGAGGGAAAAAAAGGTCCTCTGAACTTTGGGCTTGAGTTACATTTGCCAAAAATGTTACAATGTCACTGGGGGTCAAGAGTGCTACAAAAACAGAGAGCTGGGTTGGGCAATGCCTGCTGACTCACCACAATCCAGTCATGTCAGTCTTTGATCAGAATCTCACTCACCAAGGACTTTCCTGTTCAGGGACTTTCAAGAGGTTGTTCCTTCTTCCTAGAATGTTTTTCCTCACATTCTTTCTTCTGGGAGAGTCCTACTCATCTTTCTGATTTCAATTTAAATATGACTGTCTCAGAGAGACATTTCTCATAAAGAGAAAAACCTGTATTCAGAAAGTCTGAGGCATTCCTTGACACTCACCATAAAATCAAAATGTGATGTATTTGTTAAACACTCTTATAGTGCCTTGTGTTTTCCTTAACAACACTTATCAGGGTCTGCATTTAGTTGTATGATTATTTGGTTACTGACTGATCCCCTCACTCAACTAGACTGAAGTACTCTGAGAACCAGAGCTACTTCTGCCTTATTCATTACAGCATCTCTATCACTTAACATACTCTCTGATGCATAGTATGGGCACAATGAACATCTGTAGGTTGAGTAACAAATATTTGTCAAGCGAGCGAGTAAATGAATAAATCAAGCAAAAAGCACAGAAGAGAAGTTTATAGTTCTCAACAGACCAAGACAAAAACATCTCGGATTCTGAGGAAACATATCACCCTTCAAACACTTTCTGTAGCGACCTCACACCTTCACAGCCACTACACTGTTTTTGCCCATGCTTCCTCACTTGCCCCTCACACAGATAGCCCCATGAGATAAAACAGAGTAGGCTTATCATAGGCATCTGACAGATGTGCCCACCGCCTCTTGTATTTCCTTCTTAACATTCATCACATCACAAAGACTTTCTCCCTCCAGACTTGTAAGCTCCTAGTGACACGGACCGATTCTTGTTCACCACAGGATCCCTATTGTGTTGCATGAACAAGAAGTAGAGTATCTCCAAAGAGTTGTCTAAGGTGACAATAAACACGGCCAATGAAAAGAAACCACTTTTTGTTGAACATCTATGTACCAAACCAAGTCAGTAAGGTAGGTACCATTCTGCGGATAAGTACCGTATACTTAAGTTCAGAGAGGTGAAATTACTCGCTCAAAGTCACGCAGAATAAACGTCACTCTGAACCCTGCATCTCAGTCCCACCTGCTGCAGTAGAGACGCCATCTCTTCCTGCAATGGGGTCAACGGCTTGGAGACTACAGGTGGCCGCTGCAGGCACAACGCGCCCAACAAGCGCCATGGGGATCCGTTGCTTGAGGGTGCGGCTGCAAGAGCCAGGCTGCGAGAGCTTAGACTGCCGGCCCAGAGCCTCTCGAACCGCCGCCAACCCCCCGCCACCCCTAACAGCGTCCGCCTTACGGGCGCCGCCATCTTTCGTTCTCCCACAATGCACCGCGGCTCCCAGGGATCCCTCAGCCGCGGGAGCGGCAAACTAGGGGAAAGCTCAGTCCCGGAACTGCTAGAACGAACCATTCGCATATGGAGGGGGTGACCCACCATCTCAGAACATTAAAAAAGGGAAAGAATCCCCTGGTGAACTACAGTGAAAGTCTTATTGAGCATTTAAATGGAAATAAAAATATTCAGTGGACCTAATGAAGAGTAGATGACTTTCCCTTCTGTCCCCTCCCCGACAGGCACTCATGGTACCGGCGCCGGCGCAGCTGTGACTGTCGCTGCAGACGGAAACTGACTGGGGTCAATTCAAGTCATGCAGGCTGTGAGAAACGCGGGGTCGCGGTTCCTGCGGTCCTGGACTTGGCCCCAGACAGCCGGGTAACAAATGACTGCCCCCTCGAGCCCACCGCCACCTCCAGGACTATGCTCCTACTCGTGTCCCTTGAGCCACCCGGGCCCCAGTGACCGTTAGGCCGTGGCCCTCACCGAGCTTTTCTTCCCAGCAGGGTCGTGGCCAGAACGCCGGCCGGGACCATCTGCACAGGCGCTCGACAGCTCCAAGACGCTGCGGCCAAGCAGAAAGTTGAACAGAACGCGGCTCCCAGCCACACCAAGTTCAGGTGAGCCCCACTTGGACCAGCCCTCTGGAGACCCGCAACCCCTGACTCTTGCCCGACACCCTCCAGAGTCAGAACCAGTGAATTTTCAGCTATGTCACTTGCTATCCGTGGGACCTTATGCAAATAAATCTGAGCCTCAGCCTTCTCATCTAAAAATGCGGATAATGCTGAGAGAGGTTGTGAGAATCAGATGAGCCGTGGTACAGAGTAAATGTTCAGTGAACATTCGTTAAATCAATGAGTGAATGTGAGATATCCATAACATGTATCAGCGTTCTTTTCTTCTGAGATGGAGATCTTTTCAGACCAATAACCTTCCCTGCCTCCAAAACAAAATGGGGAGGTAGAGGGCGCTAGCGATGGAACAGATGTTCCTGCACGTCTTACGGATGGTCCAGGGTGGGTTTTGTGCTCAGCCCTAGGAACTGGCATCTTGCTTCCCACCAGTGCCACCACCTCTGTATGCTGTATACACATCCACTTAACTTCACATCCATTTAACAAACATTTACCAAGAATCTACTATGAGTGAGACACCATGCTAGGTGCCGTGAATACAGATACAAAAGATCATTCCTCCCCACAAGTAGTTCACAGTCTTTGAGGGAAGACAAACATGCAAACATTTTAACCATAATCTGCTCAATAATATAATGGAGGTAAGCATTGGTTGGAAGTATGAAATCATAAGTGTCTAACTCCTGGCCGGGTGCAGTAGCTCATGCCTTTAATCCCAGCACTTTAGGCGGCCAAGGTGGGCGAATTACTTGAGGTCAGGAGATCGAGACCAGCCTGGCCAACATGGCGAAACCCCGTCTCCACTAAAAGCACAAAAACTAGCCAGGCGTGATGTCTGGCACCTGTAATCCCAGCCACTCAGGAGGCTGAAGTAGAAGAATCGCATGAACCCAGGGAGCGGAGGTTGCAGTGAGCCAAGATCACGCCACTGTACTCCAGCCTGGGTGACAGATTGAGACTCTGTCTCAAAGAAAAAAAAAAAAAAAAAGAATAAGTGTCTCATTCCTGAGGAAATCAGGCAAGACCATGGAGAAAAGAACATGGAGCTCAGAAGTGAATGGGAGTTCATCTGGACAAGTTGAAGTGGGTCATTGGAGACAAAGGTAACCATCTGTGTAAAGGCATGTGGTATGAAAAAACATGGTGTGTTCAGGTGTGTATGTGATGGCAGATGAGGCCAACAAGACAAGAAGGCATCAGAATGCCAGGGGTCTTGTCTGTCACACTGGAGCTTTTACGCTGTCCCCACTGAAGGCAGTGAGGAGCTGCTGAAAGCATCTAAACCAAGATTCTGTTGTAGTCATTTCTTCAACAATGCCAGGCACTGTTCAGAGTGTTGGGGATATATCCCTGACCAAACAGACAAAAAGCCCTGCCCTCATAGAACTTAAATTCCAGTGGGTAGAAGACAGTAAATAGAAAACAAGTAAAATGTAGGAGTATAACGGTTGGAAAGGGGAAGTGGGGGTCAAGCAGGCCTGCATAGCCACATTCTGTAGGACTTTGTAGGCCGTTGTGAGGACTTCAGCTTTTACTGTGAATGAAATGGGAGGCCAATGGAAATTGCTGAATAAAGGGTTGACATGATCTTGCTGACAAGATCTTGTAAGCTCTTTGGCTGCTGTGTTGATATTAAACCATTGGAGAGCAAGAATGGAAGCTGGGAAAAGTCCTCTAAGCAGTTAGAAGACTATTGAAATAATCCAGACAAGAAACAATGGTGGCTTGGACCATGGTTATTGCCATGGAGGTATTATGAATGGTCTGACATATTTTGAAGGTAGAACAAGCAGGATTTGTTAATATACAGTGTGAGAAAAAGGAGCGAAGGAAGACCCCAAATTTTGTTGGCCTAAACAACTGGAAAGACGGAGTTGTCATTGATTAAGATGGGGAAGACTGCAGGAGTTTGGATGGGAGTTGTTAAGGTTGAGATTCTTAATAAACATTCAAGTGGAGACACAATGTAGACCATTAGAAATGGAGCTCAAGGGCCGGGCGCGGTGGCTCACACCTGTAATCCCAGCACTTTGGGAGGCCGAGGCAGGCGGATCACCGGGTCAGGCATTTTAGACCAACCTGACCAACATGGTGAAACCCCGTCTCTACTAAAAATACAAAAATTAGCCAGGTGTGGTGGCGTGGGTCTATAATCCCAGCTACCCAGGACGCTGAGGCAGGAGAATCACTTGAACCCCGGAGACGGAGGTTGCAGTGAGCCAAGATCGTGCCACTGCAGTCCAGCCTGGACGAGACTCCATCTCAAAAAAACAAACAAGCAAAAAAAGAAATGGAGTTCAAGAGTCAGACTTCAGACTTTAGCTAGAGATATACAGTTGGGAGACATCATAGAGATGATATTTAAAACCATGAGATGACAAAATCATTAATACCATAAATGTAGATGAAGAGAAGAGGTCCAAGGACTGAACCCTGGGGCGCTTTCACATTTAGAGATTTGGGAGACTAGGAAGAACCATCAGAAGAGACAAGGAACTTCCAGAGAGGTAATAGGAAAACCAGGAGAGAACATTTGTTTTTTAATTTGGCTCAAGGTGGGGAGATCAGCTGTGTCAAATGCTGCTGATGTGATAGGTTGCTAGATCAATAACAGAATTGCCTATTATATTTAGTAATGTGGAGTTAGTTGGATTAAAGCATTTTTGGTGGAGTGGTAGAGGCTAATATCTGATTGAAATGGGTTCAAGGAGAATAGAAGCAGAGGATAGGAAGAAACAGCAAGTATAGTCAGTACCTTAAAGTTCCTTAAGAGGGCTCTGCTATAAGGGAATAGAGAAATGGACAATAGCTCCCAGGAGGTGGGTTCAAGAGGTTTTCGAGGGTTGTTCTGTTATTTTTTCAGTTTGGAACATAACAATATGTTTTGCCATTGGGAGCAGTGCAGTATAGAGGGGAAAAAACAAGTGATACTGGAGTGGGAACATTGCGGGAACAGTGTCCTTCAGGGGCTAATACACAAGTGGAGCACTGTAACAGGAGAGAGCGCAAAGGCTGTGGGCACAGATGTTCAGTAGTGGGAGCTGGGAGAAAGTCTGATTGCTTCTATTCCCCTGTGGAGGTCATCCGCTCAGCAATGAGGAAGCAGGGAGTTGGAGGTTAGAGGAGACAAAAGAAGCTATAAAAGAGTCATCTAGGAGAATGGAAGGATAATTGAACAGGGTATGTGCTGTATGATTGCGAGGCAGTTCTAATCACTTCTAAGGTCAAACCCACAGGAAAGAATATAGTTGTAAACTTTGAATACCAATGTGTTTTTGATTTGCCTTTTAAAATACCTCTAGAAAAGCAGGTAGGGCTGGGGCGAGAGTAGTCCTTAGATTATAATATAATTTCTAAAATGGAGTCTATTGTATTTCAAGTGGCTGTGGTGGGTACAAACATGAATCTGATATATGTGTGTAGGCCTAGAGGAACAGCAAGTTTATTTCCAGCTCCATTGCTGAAGGATGATTGTGTGTGTTCAAATTTTAAAAAGCACAGCTTGGTGAGCAAAGCTCTAGACTGAGACAGATCTACTAGGTCCAAGGCTTGGCTTCTCTTGCTAACCCTATTTCCCTATTGGTACCTAATTTTCACCATCTGAAAATAAAAATCCTTATTTTCCTTAAGGATTTCTTAAGGCATTCTTAATTGTATTAATAAGTTAACTTATTAGAGATGATAAGTTAGATGATAACTTAGCTAGAAATAGCCAGAAGACAGCTTGGACTAAGACAGTGGAAGATCTTGAACGCAACACAATGTGTTCACATCTGATTCTATTGGGACATTTGCAACATTGATTTCCATACCCCATCCAGAAGTCCAGGGTGAAGCTTAAACATCTGTATGCTTCACAGCTGACTGATGTTCAGCCTGCATTGAAAACCACTGGTCTAGGGTAGAGGTTGGCAAACTATGGTCGACTGGGCAAATCTGGCCAATTGCCTGTTTTTGTAAGTAAAGTTTTATTGGAACACAGCCTATTAATTTACTGTTGTCTGTACCTGTTGTTGGGATATAGTGGAAGAGTTTAGTAATTGGGACAGAGACCTGTTGGCCCGCAAAGCCCAGTATATTTACTATCTGGCCCTTTACAGAAAAAGTTTGCTGTCCTTTATTCTAGGGGATTCTGGGTTTTTTTTAATGGTAATGATATGAGTATTATTTTTGTCTCATTTTTTGCAATGTAGAGTCCAGATATTGTCTATGGTTGATGAAATAAGAAACAGAGGTTTGACTGTATTTTTTAAATTGTGGGAAGAGGAACCTACAAAGGATCTGAAAATAATGAACACGGGTATACCTGCAGGGACAAGGAAGATGGGGAGTATGCATGAAAATCCCTTCTCATAGCGGAAAGTCCCCAGATGTGTCTGAAGTCAGCAAGTCAAGAAACAGCATCATAAGCACAGCAGTCACACATGCGGTGGTGGCACCAGAAGGACTGAAAAGGAATGGTGGGGGCAGCCACTTAAGAAGCAGCAGGGGGCACAGAGCTGTTATTTTTTAACCATGTGTTGTATTTCTTTGATTTTTAAAAAGTCGAGACAATTTTAAATAAAATCTTTCTTCTAATTGCAGCATTTACCCTCCCATTCCAGGAGAGGAGAGCTCTCTGAGGTGGGCAGGAAAGAAATTTGAGGAGATCCCAATTGCACACATTAAAGCATCCCACAACAAGTAAGTGGGAAGGGAAACACTGGGCAGGTCTAGCGTGAGATTCTTTCCACTTCACAGGGAAAGTCAGGCTTGGCCCTGAATACCCCGGGGTAGAAGTGAGGGTGCTAAGTGCTGCATGATGGCGCTAATGTAGGGCACCGTCTTCCTCCTCACTTGAGGAACCACCTGCCATCTTACACAAGTTTCATAAAAATGTGAAATAGGGTGGGCATATCCTAGTTATAAGAATTCTTTGCTTTCCTTGAGAATAGTGTTTCCTGGTTTTGCTCAAGAGTTGGAAGGAGTGTATGAGGGGCATATGGTCCCACCATGAAGGTGTTTATTAAGTGTTGCTGGTAGGGAATGGATGATATATAAATTAAAAGATATGATTCAAGATATTAATATGATTTATTAATACACTAACCAGAATCTAGACCTCTAAATAGATATTGTCCCTTTAAAGTACTCACCACTCTGGGCCACTGTGCACTGGCCTCCACCTTGTAGAGCTAAATGTGGATGGTGAGTTTAAAGTGACAAGACTAGTGTTCTTGTGTGGCTTACAGACGGGGACAGTGCCAAGGGAATTCCCAAACATATGCTGCCAACAGAAGCATTGCTGGTATTAGTGACAACTTTACAGGTTGGCCCCCACTTGGAAATGAGATCAGTATTTGGTCACAGCCAACCCACCCAGCAATTTAGAGACCAGCACAAGAGACTACAGTCATGGGCTAAAGTGTGTGGCACAGATGAAATGCTATAGGATTCATTTCAGCATTTGTCAGATAAATGTAAAGTGACAGCAATTGGATTTCTTTTTCTTCCCCTCAGACTAATAAGGACATAGGCTAACTGCATTTAAGTGTCTATGGTCTACTCTATACAGCACTGTTTAGGCTGTCACAGAGACAAGCAATTACGCATCTATTCAATATGGAAAACCCTAGAAGCTCTGGTAGGGGGAATGTCAGAGCCATAGCCAGGATAACAAGTGGATGGCCCAAGCCCGGGGCTGACTCCAGCAGGCCTCCCCTTCAGTCACTTCTCCTGCCTCCTTCTGTGAGCTCTCAGAGCTCTCCAGACCAGAAATAGGATGATGATGACTAAAGGGGAAATCAAAGCATATCTGAGGATTTCTTAAGGCATTCTTAATTGTATTAATAAGTAACTTATTAGAGATGATTAAGAAAAAGTTGTGGGTGGATGCAGTGGCTCACACCTATAATCCCAGCACTTTGGGAGGATCACTTGAGGCCAGGAATTTAAGACCAGCCTGGGCAACATAGTGAGACCCAGTCTCTAAAGAAATACAAAAATTAGCCAGGCGTGGTGGCATGCACCTGTAGTCCCAGCTACTTGGGAGGCTGAGGTGGGAGGATGGCTTGAGCCCAGGAGTTGGAGGCTGCAGTGAGCTATGATTGTGCCACTGCACTTCCAGCCTGGGCAACAGAGTGAGACCCTGTCTCACAAAAAAATAAAAAAGAAAAAAAGAGAAAAGTTTTACTTGTTTAAAATAATTTTTGATCATGGAATATAGTGTCATAAGCATCAAAAGTATCCAATATGAGGCCGGGCGAGGTGGCTCATGCCTGTAATCCCAACACTTTGGGAGGCCAAGGCGGGCAGATCACCTGAGGTCGGGAGTTCAAGACCGGCCTGCCCAACATGGAGAAACCCCGTCTTTACTAAAAATACAAAATTAGCCAGGCATGGTGGTGCACGCCTGTAATCCCAGCTACTCTGAAGGCTGAGGCAGAAGAATCACTTGAACCCGGGAGGCGGAGGTTACTGTGAGCCAAGATCGTGCCATTGCACTCCAGCCTGGGCAACAAGAGCAAAACTCCATCTCAAAAAAAAAAAAGTAGCCAATATGGTAATATTGCTAATATTTTTTTAAGAGTCCTTCTTTTAGAGCTATGTACTGAAATATTTACAGACAAAATGATAGGTCTGGGATTTGCTTCAAAATAATCCATTGGTGAGGGGAGTGGGGTGGGAACAAGGTTTATAGATGAAACTGAATTGGATATGAGTTGATAATTGTTGAAGCTGGTTGATGAGTCCATCAGATTTCTTATGTTATTCTCTTCACTTTTGTGTATATTTAAAACTTTCCCCAATACAGTCATTTTCTGGGTGATACTTAACTAACTACTCTCAGATTATGGAGCGCTCTTTAAATTATGTGACTTACCAGTTTTCAGTCAGGTTTAGGGGAGAATTCTGACCTTTCCTGATACTTCCTGTAGGAGTTCAAAACATGTTCATCTGAGAAGCTCAAAGTAGAAGCAACTGAATTCCTTTTTCTTTCTCACCCAGGCTTCTAGGGGCATAGATTAGCTCTCTCTTATTTCCCTGAAGAAGAGTTGTATCCTATGTGCTTCTTCTACTTTTCTCAGCACACAGATCCAGGTAGTCTCTGCTAGTAATGAGCCCCTTGCCTTTGCTTCCTGTGGCACAGAGGGATTTCGGAATGCCAAGAAGGGCACAGGCATCGCAGCACAGACAGCAGGCATAGCCGCAGCGGCGGTAAGTGTGTGTTCCTTCTGCTTCCTTCTAGTGTGTGTTTGCTTTCTGCATGGCTCATCACTGAGTGGAGAATCCTCATTATACTACCCATTCAGAAGCAAGGGTTTGTCATGGCAGCTTTGATGCCCTGATTGGAGCATTGGTTTGAAAAGGTTTAGTGAAAGGCTCCTCTTTTTTCTTTCTCTCAGCTTCATTAGAGGTGAAGCCCTTGTTGGTTCATTCTAGGATGTAAGAGCCAAGATACCAAAGGCTTGAGAACCAAAGACCCCTCAATTTAAAAACCGTTAGCCAGGTCTGGTGGCACCTGCCTGTAGTTCCAGCTACTTGGGAGGCTGAGGCTGGATGGCTTGAGCCCAAGAGTTTGAGGCTGCAGTGAACTATGATCTCACCACTGCACTAAAGCCTGGGCAACAGAGAGAGACCCTGTCTCCAAAATAAATTAAAAATAGGCCAGGCGCGATGGCTCACAGTTGTAATCCCAGCACTTTGGGAGGCCAAGGCAGGCGTAAGAGATCGAGACCATCCTGGCCAACATGGTGAAACCCCATCTCTACTAAAAATAGAAAAATTAGCTGGGCGTGGTGGTGCGCGCCTGTAGTCCCAGGTACTCGGGAGGCTGAGGCAGGAGAATCACTTGAACCCAGGAGGTGGAGGTTGCAGTGACTCGAGATCACACCACTGCACTCCAGCCTGGTGACAGAGCGAGACTCCATCTCAAGAAAAAAAATAAAAATAAAGACCAGTGGTTTGGGGTTGGGAGAGATATGATAGTCTATTTGGAGAGGACATAGTATCGTGGGGACTCATGCAATAGCAATACCAGTTCCAGTGTGAACTGTCGTAGACCTTTTTTAGAAGCAAATTGGCAAGGTGCTGCTATTGGTATAGTTATTGAGCATCTACATGTGCCAGACACTTTACATTCATTATCTTGAATCTTCAGAGACCCTCAGTATTATCCACATTTTCATAAGCCAATTGAGATTCAGAGTGTGTGACTTGCCCAGAGCCATGCACCGATTCAGTTCACTGATCGGAACCCAGATTGGTCTGGGACCAAAGCCTGCACAATTTCTACTATAGTACAGGCCTTACAAATGTTCAGACTCTGCCAAACCAGATGTATTTCCTGAAGGAAAACCTTGACCTTCAAACAAGGGAAGGCACCCCAAAATATTGATTGCATGTACTATCATCAGAAATCAAAATGCTGTAAATGCCCAACCATGGACAGATCATATACTATGAAAAGAAGTATGTCACTGTTCACAGTGGCTTCTGCATGGTGAGTCATGAATGATTTCTGTATATTTTCCCATTTTTATAATGAACTGCCTTTATTATCAAGAAAGTAAATTTTAACTCTAACTGCTTAGAGATTTTAAATGATAATACTTTTAAAGTGGGTATTTAGGTTCAGCCTTGAAGCCTAGGGTGGCGCCTCATGGTCTGAAATTCTGCATTTGCCCCCCTGAGAAAAACCTGAGCAATATTTAGAAATTTCCATTAGGTGGCGGTGCTGTCCTAGGCTAAACAGATCACAGTCACGTGAATTCTGCAACCTGCCAAATTCTGTGGTCTCTGCTGGCGCCTGTCCTCCACTATAGCCATCTGCCCTTTGCCTCCCTGTTTACTTCTCTGGATGCCCTTTCCCTGAGCTCACACACCCCTTGCTCTAGGAGGCAGTAGCAAGAGATTTGGATGCAGTAGTTCTCTCTCCGGGGCACTAACCACTCTGCTTCTCTCCAGAGAGCTAAACAAAAGGGCGTGATCCACATCCGAGTTGTGGTGAAAGGCCTGGGGCCAGGACGCTTGGTAAGTTACAGTGATTTCCATAGTGTACTTGCCTCCTAGTAAGTGTGAGAATTTGGGGCTTGAGAGCAGAGTACAGGGAGAGTAGAAAACACCTTTTAGTGGATTTCCATGTTTGCTTGAAGTTCCCGTCTGTTGTTTCTATAATTGACCAAGCCCCTCAGAGCAAGCCTAGATCACTTAGTATAATTCATCAGACACTGAGTGCCTGCTGCGTGCCACGCACTGGGAATGGGAAGGTGGTTCCTGGGGGAACTGTCACAAACAAATCCCTTAGGACAGACTGGTGAGCGCTGTGGTAAAGCATGTGCCCAGATCGCTGGGAGCCCATCAGGGGATCCCGAACCTAGCAGGGATAATCTTTCCTGATGATCATTAGCACAGATAATCTTTAGCTTCTTCAAAGAGGTGACATCTCTCTGACTTTGCAGGAATAATGAGGTATCAGGGAGGTGGAGGCACAGCAGGTACGGGGGGACATTGCAGGCAGAGAAAACTGCCTGAGTAAGCTACAGAAGTATGATACCCAAGGTGTGCCAAGGTCTACAAGAAGTCTTTGTTCGCAGATCGTAAAGTGCAAAGTGGAAAGTGGTGGGTACAGTTTGAGAGGGGAACAGTGTGAAAACCTGGTTAAAGGGTTTGGGTGGAGACCTTTGTGAGAGTAGAATAGGATTGGGATTATAGGTATCAAAGCCAGTGAGCATCTCACCCCTCCGTTCCCTTCTCTACGCCACCCTGTCCCTCTCCGAACCCTGCCTGGAGACACTGGATCATCATTTCTGGGACCATGTCATTCTACTTTTCCTTCTGTTCCTTCCAGTCTGCCATGCACGGACTGATCATGGGCGGCCTGGAAGTGATCTCAATCACAGACAACACCCCAATCCCACACAACGGCTGCCGCCCCAGGAAGGCTCGGAAGCTGTGATGGGAAGGAGGCCTGCACTTGGACCTGACCTCAAGCCTCAGCTCCAGTGGGACCTTGTAAAATGCTCCCTGTCAGAGCTCTCCAGAATATGCTTGTTGGAGATCCTTCAGGCAGTAAGGGAGAGTTTTGCCTCCTTACACAGTGGCCTTTGCTTGCACCTCCAGCTGGAGATGGGTGTGCCCCAGAAGTAAGCTTTGCATCTCTTACAAGAGGGGAGCTACAGGGGCAGCCGTGGCCTAGGCCCAAACTCTGCTCTGAGAAAATAAATATCTGTACCACCTGTCATAATTTTGAGATTTTTTGCTTTCAGAGTTACGTAATTCCTAATTCCTCTTGAAAAAGAGAGTGTGAAATGAGGTGAGGCCTCAGATGAAAGTAAAATATAAATGTGAGTTGCTATTTACCAGACACTTCTGGTTTCAGATATTTCTTTTCTAGCCCCTTACCCAAGATTTCTAGAGCTAATCCTAGTAACTTTTCTTATTAATGACTTATAATTTGGCCCCAAATTGGAGCTTTTTGCCACCTACCTCTGGATTCTGATGGATTTCGCCATTATGGGCATGTTTAAAGTTAGCCCTAAACACAGGATTTTCTACAAGTGGACAGTCAAACTCCCCACACTAAAGTGGCAGTCATCGTTTACACTCCATGGGCTTCAGCAGTCCCAGCACTAACGAGAGAGTGCCCTAAAAGCGGGGAGGGTAGAGTTGTACAAAACATGATTCTTGGCCAGGCACGGTGGCTCACACCTGTAACCCTGGCACTTTGGGAGGCCAAGGCGGGTGGATCACTTGAGTCCAGTTAGAGACCAGCCTGGGCAACATGGTGAAACCCCCTCTCTACTAAAAATACAAAAATTAACCAGGCATGGTGGTGTGCGCCTGTAATCCCAGCTACTCTGGAGGCTGAGGCATGAAAATCGCTTGAACCCAGGAGGTGGAGGCTGCAGTGAGCTGAGATCATCCTACTGCACTCCAGCCCAGGTGACAGCGAGACTGTCTCAAAAAAATAAATAAATATAAATAAAAATTTAAAAAAATTAAAAAAAAAAACCTGATGATTCTCTAGAAAATAGGGTGGATGGCAGGATGGGCTTGAGTAGAGTCCAAATCTAGAAGTGCAGAAAGCAAGTTGATAAGGAACCTGGGTAGTGCTGGCAGTGGGGCACAACTCAGGACCCCCAGGCAGGACTGACTGCTCCTCTGTTGGGGCTCTAGGGTTCCTGGATACGGCACAGAGGCCAAAGGTGGGGGCTCTAGAGACACGACCAGAGAGTCCCCTCTTCCACAGGCAAAGACTAAGGGTGAGAGTATCACCAGAAGCTGAGAAGGAGTGGTCAAGTACACAAAAGCACTGTTCCTCCCAGATGAGTGCAGGAAGGGCTGCTGACCAGAAGGGGAAGGCACTGTGGAGTTTTACTTCTGTGTCCAGCCAGCTAAGTACTGTGATCTGCCTGAACTCAGTATAGGAAAAGACACAGATGCCCCCTTAAATAGGCAAGAGGCTGTGTTAGGACAAAGAAAGGAGGAAGATCACGAACCAAGACATGAATTTAGAGGAAAAATGCCTCCCTACTGCCTTCTCTTTAGTCCTTAGCAGGTCCTATGAAGGCCATCTTGTGACAGTGACCAAAGAAGCCCAACCGGAGGCTTCTTGGATCAAAGCCACTGTCGGAAGGAATTAGACTGTTTCACCGCAAAACTACATATAAACACAATGCATTAAAACATGGTGCACTTGAAAATTGCACTTCGCGATTTGATATGGTTTGGTGGACAGAGGGCCCGTAGCCATCAGACAGTTCAATCAGGGTCTGAGCAGGAAACAGCTCACAAGGTTTAAGAGAAAAGCTCAATGAAAGCTCTTTGCAGAGGCATGGGTAAGATTAAGGAAATAAAGAAGGTGGACTACAAAGCAGCTGCCACCCTAGGCTAGAAGAGGCAGGGAAGAACAGTTCCTAGAACCTGGCAGGAGCTGCCACAGCAGCAGAGTGCACCTCTGCCAAAACCATGGCCTGAGGGAGAGGGAAGAAATGCCTGGCTGTTCCCGGCCTGTAGTCCCTTGCTGGGGTCCCCCTTGGCTGATCCCAAAAGGAAGCAAAAAGGAAGGGAACTCAGTGTTGTGGTACTTGGAGGCTCAGCCTCCCAGGCTGCAGAGTGGATCTGGAGGGGCACGTAGAGGATAGTAAACACAGGAGGCTTCTGTGGCTTCTGTAAGTCCTCCATACACCATAGGTTTTTATTTTGGTTTTGGTTTTTGAGTCTCGTTGTCACCCAGGCTGGATTGCAGTGGTACGACCATGGTTCACTGCAGCCTCAAACTCCTGGGCTCAAGTGATCCTCCAGCTTCAGCCTCCTGTGAGCATCTGGGACTACAGGCGCATGCCACCACACATGGATAATTTTTGTATTTTTTGTATTGAGACCAGGTCTTGAACTCCTGGTCTCAAGCAGTCCCCCCACCTCGGCCTCCCAAAGTGCTGGGATAACAGGCGTGAGCCACTGCGCCTGATCCACACACCATAGTTTTTAAAATGTTATTTTACTCACAAGAGGGCTTTGGAAAGGAAGATCCTGCCCAGCAGAGCCTACATGCGCAGACAGGACAGAGGACCCTTAAGGATCAATGGTCTTGTTGCCGGAAATGGATGTCTGGCGCAACCCCCGGAGCTAGTTTTGGGGAGGCCGCCTTGTTGACTGTGCACTGGAAAATGCACATTGCTTTATCGTGAGCTCTCGGTGCACAGTGTGGTTTCCAGGCTCTGAGTGGCCAATAAAGCTGGTGCTGTCTTAAACTGTACTGTCTCTTAATCATTTGTCTTGGCCTCTCAGAGACTGACCTTCCCACCCCCATGAGAGACCAAGGTACCTTCACTGAAGGCTGACCAATCTAGGCGGTGATTATTTACCTAAAATGCTGGACTGCCCTGTCCCTGCTGCCACAGCCCATCTCAAACAGCAGGTCTCTCCTTCCTGAGAAAACAGGTGGAATGTGTGCTTGCACTTCCCACAGGCGGAAAGATGCAAGCCCAGCATGTGGGTCCCAAGTATTTGCACAAGCAGGGTGTTGGCATCAGCTTGTGTGACACACTTTGTTGTCTTCTGGCAGCAGAGCCTCAGATTATTTCTACGGATGCATCTGCAGCTTTGCTTCTAAGGCTGGCTGCACAGGACTGGCTACATAAGGAAAGCCTGTCCTCCTACACTAGCAAAAAAACAGATGCAATTTCTTTCCTTTCAGCATAGACGCGACGTTTTCACATCTTTCTGCCAAGGCTATCACCTGACACCGAGATGTACGGTCACTGCCAAAATAAGCCTGTTTACCACTAGAGTCCCTGAATGCTAGCAGAATTTCACGGGCACCTTGGGAGAAAGCATTTACCAACTCTATTTGCCTGTAACCAGGCTCTGACATGTCTCTTTAAAAAAAAAAAAAATGCATATATACCTTCCTGCTGGACTTTATTCTTTTTCTCTACTCATTTTTCTCCTATTCTGGAAAGACACATTGCTTTTGAAACCTGGGTACTATCAGCCTAAGGTGATGAAGCTGTCACTTGCCAAAGCAGAAATTATCCATTCACCAAATTAAGCCAACATGGGCTAGTCCACAAACATGGAGGCCAGGCACTGGGGGAACAGGGCTGGAGCTGTCCCTACTCTGGAGTTCACGCTCTGAGGAGGCAGGACAGGTATGTGGCTGAGTTAGAATGGAATTCCATAAAAGAGGCACAAGTGATATTGGCGTTGGAGTGAAAGACCCGTCCCCTCAGCTTCAGGGCCGGAAGGGAAGTCTTTGTGGAGGAGAAGGCATGCAAGAGGAACCATGGGTGAATGAGCATCCTCAGGAGCTCAAAACAGCATGCAAGGCTGAGGGGTGAGAGGTCATCAGGTTCCTGGTTCCCACTGAGTTGACATGGTGGGTCACACGGTTCGGACTGGATAGGGAGACTGGATGGAGAGAATAGCTTACCAGAGGATTCAAGAGAAAGGAAGGGGTCATAAAACTTGCAATCAGGCCAGGTGCAGTGGCTCACACCTGTAATCCCAACACTTTGGGAGGCCGAGGCAGGCGGATCACCTGAGGTCAGGAGTTCGAGACCAGCCTGACCAACATGGAGAAACCCCGTCTCTACTAAAAATACAAAAAATTAGCCCATCGTGGTTGGCGCATGCCTGTAATCCCAGCTACTTGGGAGGCTGAGGCAGGAGAATCGCTTGAACCCAGGAGGTGGAGGTTGCGGTAAGCCGAGATCACGCCATTGTACTCCAGCCTGGGCAACAAGAGTGAAACTCCTTCTCAAAAAAAAAAACAACAAAAACAAAAACAAAAAAAAACTTGCAGTCACACCAAGGTTAAAGAGCAGTCTCCACAAATGGGATGGACAAAAGGAGGTGGGTGTGTAGACAGCTGCAGTCAACAGGAACTTCAGAGTTAGAGATTCAAGAGAGAGCTCATTCACAGGAGAGGAAGTGAGGCACATGGGTGTCTAAAATACAGTCGAAATACAAGTCACTGAGGTTTAAGTCAAGTAATTATGTGGACAAAGAAACTTACCTTGATGCTGAAGCCTGGAAGTAGATGTCAGGGAAAAGGATAGAGAAGTCTATGAGGTTCAAAGTCCCTAAACAAAGTGGAGTGGCCCATAGTGTAGGAAGCAGACCAAGAATTCAGGAAGGCAGAAGTAATAGATCGTATGCACTTCAAAAGAGAACGGCTGTCAAGTAGGGGTGGTGGAACAATATCCCTGGAAGGGCTGAGGAGAGGGGAGCATGCTGACGCCTATCCCTGTCCACTGGGTGGGAGGTGGGGGTGGCGTGCACAGTGCTGGGGAAATGATGGTGATGAGGCTGTCTCTCCTCAGTAGACTGAAGGTGTAGGGACCGTGGTGGGAAGGCAGCGGCTGTGGACGCAGATGCCCAGAGCATGGAGAATCAGAAGAGCCTCTGGGGGCCTGGAGGTGTGGGGCCAGAGCCCCTCAGGAGCCAGGAACTGGATTGGAATCTATATCTAATACCCAACATCTACTCTGCTTCCACCCTGACTTTATAACAGAAGAATTTCAAAAGCTCAAAAGCTGTGAAATGATGTTTAATCTTACTAGTAATCAAGGACATAGAAGCTAAATGCCTAAGCATCATTCCCCAAATGTAGAGATGCCAATCAACGCCATAGTGGGATGAGACAGACCAGGAAAACTACAGAGTAGGGAAAAGAAGATGGCCAAGATTGTAAATGCAAGGAAGAGAGACTGTGAAGGAGGTGGGACAGAGGGCTTAGTCGGAGTGCAGGTTGCTGTCCAGAAGTCTGATAGGAACTCTACAAGATGAGGTGCCCCTTAGGTTTAGCCATGTGGAGGTCATGATTCACCAAAGGGAGAGAGGGTCAGAGACAGTGGGAGGTGAAGAAATAGAGGTTGGGCCAAGAGTGCTGAGTTTTCTAGTAAAGTCTGTCTCGTGGTGATGGAGAATAAATGGGATCAGCAGTTTCCCCTGCACCATGATGGACCAAGAGTCGGGGTGTGCAGAGGAGACGAGAAGAGGCTTAGAGCTGTGGAGAAGCAGACCTCAGCCAGGTGGCTGTCTCCCCTCTGAGGGAGATAGCGGTGTGGGACCCCAGGGACAGGCATGCCCATTGTAAATTGGGAACAGCAGTGTCTGATGTGAGCAACGTGGGCACCAACAATGGAAACAAAATGTCCTTGGAATCAGTACACACAGGGAATGTTTCGTGTTCTTTCCGACATTCTACACCGATTGTTCTGAAACAAAAAGTGTGTGCTCTCTCTCAGCTCTTACTGGGGGAAGGTAAATACCTAGAGCCTCTTCAGAGGGAAATTTGGCAATATCTGTCAACACAAGATGCAAAGACCTGTGGCTTCATAATTCCCTTCTAGGAATGTATCACATAGAGACAGCATCGCTGTCCACTAGAACTCCTTGCACAACAGAAATGCCCTATATCTTCCCTGCCAGAATGGAAGCCACTAGCCCCACATGGCTCTTAAAATGTGACTAGGAACTGCGTTTTAAATTCTATTTAATATGAATTAATTAACTTTGAAATAGCCACAGGTGACCAGCGAGTGTGGGACCACAAAGCTATAGATATTCTTTCCCATGTGTACCAAGTATGCAAAGATATTTTTGAAGGTACTGTAAAAGATTGGAACCTAAATGTCCATCAATAGGGGGCTAGTTAAATTACAATACAGTACATCCAGATAATGGAATGTTGGCCCTGAAACACACCAAGATGCTTTGCTAAGTGAAAAATAAACGAGTGGGGGCAGAACGTTGTGCACAGTGTAGTTGCTAATTTTTGTAGAAAAGGAGAAAAGGTGTGTACATACATGTTTGTGTATGCATTCAGTATCTGGAAAGACATATCCCAAACTGGCAGTGTGCTCAGCTCCAGGGAGGGAAACTGGGTGACAGAGTAGCAGGTGGAAAGCAGACTCAACTCTTTACCTTCTTCACCTTTAGAAGTAGGTGCTATATTGATGTTACTTATTCATATTAATTAATGAACCAATTAAAATAAAAATAAAGAACTTTTTAAAAAAATGTATAGATGCTGCAGTCAGGCATTACATAAATCATCTGCTGAAATGTGCACATAACATTTTTTTAGTATATATTTGGACACACACGGACCCTGTAACACTCCCCATCTCCACTGTTGGTCCAGTATTTGGGGGAAGACATCTGATTTGGCTCTGAAATTTGTTCTCGTAATTAATCTGGCTTCTCTCTGCTGCCCACCCAGGTTCAAATAAAACTATGCACATGCTCCCAAATTAGCATAACAAGTCTTGCCAGAAAAGTCAGCCTCGGTGTCATTATTGCTTGGCTGGGAGGAGGAGGCAGAGAGAGCAGGGCGATCTGTTTCCATAGTGCCCTGCGGCAGCTTAACCGCCTAGGATTTGCGTAATCCCCTTGAACTAAAAAGAAATGTCAACTGAGGGGCAGCATGGTGTCACAGGGGGCCCTGGCTGGGAGGACACCTGTTGTCTAGACCCAGCTTGAGCCCAGACTCAGCATGCAGGCTGTCAGGCCACACTCCCTCCCCAACACAAGACTTCAGTTTCTCAGGACCATGAGGGGGTTGAGTGGGACGCAGCTCCAGCATCTAAGGAGCCTACAGGTCCTTCGTGGCTGGGAAGAAAGCCTGGATCCTGACTCACTAAGCTGCTCTGAGGGAGAGCCTCAGGGATGTTACACAAGCCAGATTCTATGCCCCAGGGAATCCAATTAGTTCTCCCCTAGACTCTAGGCCAGGCCCGCTCCCTGCCGATGCCCCCCACCTGCCACCCTGCTCAGTTGCCCATTCCTTCTAGCCTGCTGGGCTGAGAAGAGCTTAGGCTTTGGAGTCACAAAGACCAGGGTTTGAATCTCAGCTCTACTGTGTGACCTTGGAGGAATGGCTGCATCTCTCTGAGCCTCAGCTACTCCCACTTTCACAGGACTGGCAGGGGGATTTGTAAGGCAACTGTGTACTCTGCTCAGGCACAGCGAGTGTCATCCAGGCTGGCCCTGCCTTTCCTGCCCTGCCCTCCCAATCCTCACACTGCTAAGGTGGCAGCTTCCATCCTCGCAGGGCCTTGGCTGATTCTGTGGGGCCCTGGCGGGGAGCACAGTGGTGAATGCAGATGCATGCCCATCTTGTTGCTGCTGTTACAATTATTAATTATTTTCAAATATTTTTCCTGTAATTTTAATCAGAAAAGTCCTGTGGGAGCCAATCACCCATCTTCCTAATTCCTTAAATTCATCCAACTGTAGATAAAGCCAGATCGTTTAAAAAAAAAAATTGCAGCCAAAAATGAAATGAAATGAAAACGCCAAATGATTGGAAAGTCTATCCCTCAAGAGTCTTTCTTCCCTCCCTCATTCCTCAAGCATCTATCAACACTCAGATTCAGGATGTCTAAGCCCTAGTAACTGGCCTGAGCAGCCTAGGAGGCTAGCTGGGGAGACAAATTCAGAAAAAGTCCATTGTGACACCACTGAGTGCTACCACAGAATGGGGACACCTGTGAGTGAGACAGCGCGTGCCCTAGAGTCTGTGTGTGTTATGGTGGGGATGAGAAGATGAATCAAGGAACACTTCCTAGAGGAGGTGACACAAGCTCAAAATCAGAGTAAGAGTTAGGAGGCAACTATGGGTGATGAGGGGTGATGGGGGGAGTTTGCAGCAAAGAAGATGGCATGAACAAAGGGTAGAATGCAAGGGATCCTCCTTCCTCGACCTCCAAAAGTACTGGGATTACAGGTGTGAGTCACCATGCCCAGCCTTAAATTAAAGATCTTGAAAGCCAGGCACAGTGGTGCATGCTTGTAGTCCCAGCTGCTCAGGAGGCCAAGACAGGAGAATCACTTGCACCCAGAACTTCGAGTCCAGCCTGGGCAACATAGCAAGACCCCCATCTCTTAAAAAAAAGAAAAAGAAATATGAGTGCTCTTGAGATGGGGAGATTATCCTGGATGATCTAGTGGATCCTAAATGGAGTCACAGGTATTCTTATAAAATGGAGCCAGAAGATTTGACTACATAAACAGAAGAGGAAAGGCCATGTGACCACAGAGGCAGAGACTGGAGAGATTCAGCCATAGGCCAAGAAATGCCAAAATCCACCAGAAGCTGGAAGGGGCAAGAACAGATTGTTCCTGAAACTGTGATGTTTCATTGCCCGGTGTGCACAGCAAGTCAATATGCCGAAACACCAGGCTGCAGTAGAGAAAGGAGTTTAATCACAGGGTCACCGAATGAGGAGATAAGAGGAAACCTTAAATCCATCTCCCCAGTGAGTTTGGGGCTAGGGTTTTTAAGAGTTTTGGAGTGGGCCGAAGTGTGGAGATCACTGATGGGTGGAAGAGTGCAGGGTGAAGTCACGGGACAAGGAGATGAAACAGCTGAATTCTCATGCCGATCCCATTCCTGTGTGGGGGTCTTCAAACTCATTCCTGGAATTCATGGCCTGGAAAATATCTTAAGCCATCCTTCCACAAAAGCTCTATGATTCTAATGTCAGAGATCCTGTCTATAGGAACAACGTGGATGAAATCAATTCTTAGTCTCAGAATCCTAATGTCAGAAATCCTATCTGTAGAAACGATGGGGATGCAAATGGTCAGTAACCAGCGCTACATGACTTTTAGCAACAAAGAAGAGGGCCAAAGAGCAGCCTGATCAATGCTTAATTCTAACTATATTTCTATCCAGAGCTGGGCAGGCAATTCTTATCAACCCTGTAGAGATGGTTTCATTCCCTAGAGCCTCTGAAGGAAGCATAGCCCTGCTGCCAACTTGATTTTGGCCCAATGATACTGATTTGGGACTTCTGGCCTCCAGAACTGTGACAGAACAAATGTCTGTGGTTTTAGGCACCCAGGGTGTGGTCATTTGTCACAGCAGCCACAGGAATCTAATAGAGGCAGGAGAGAATGCTGGAGAAGTCAGTGGGGATGGAGAGAAGTTGGGGGTGGTGGATATAGAAGAGGAAAATGGGCAAGGCTGGGGTGGACTGCAGGTGGGATAAGAGAGGGAGGGACAGCCAGGCATCTGGTGGCCTCATAACATCAGAAGGGCCCTATGCTACTGGGGCACCAGCAGGGCCCTCTGCAGGCTGTAAGCAGCATGAGCCTCTGAAAGGTTTTAACAGGGCTGTGCCATGGTCAGAGATGTGTTTTAGAAAGAGCAGACTGGGGTCTGGGGCGCTGGATGGACGAACTAAAGGCACCTGGAGTCAGGGAGACCCACAGGAGGTCATGGCTGGGATCCAGGTGAGAGATGAGTCTGGCAGAAAACAGCCACAAGCAGGATTGCAGGCAGGGCAGATTCTAGGGAGGTTTAGGAGGCTGTCTTAGTCCCTTTTGTGCTGCTATAATGGAATACCACAGACTGGGTAACTTATTTCTTACAGTTCTAAAGGCTGTGAATTCAAGGTTGAGGGACCAAATCTCATGAGGGCCTTTGTGCTGTGTCATCCCATGGAGGAAGGCAGAAGGGCAAGAAAGGGGATATGAGAGAGAGAGAGAGAGAAAGAGATCATGAGAAAGAGAAAGGGCATGTGAGAGAGAGAGAGAGAGAGAGAGAGAGAGCATAAGAAAAAAAGAGAGAAAGAATGCAAAGGCCAAACTGGATTTTCTAACAATCCGCTCCATGACCTAATCACCTCTTACTGCCCCCCCCCCGTTAATACTGTCACAATGGCAATTAAATCTCAACATGGGTTTTGGAGGGGACATCCAATCCATGGCAGAGGCAAAGGTGCCATTTCCGGGTGGAGGAGAGGGGAGATGTACAGAAGCGGCTGCAGGGGCGCCACCAGCAGAGCCTGTGTGGGCCCCGGCTCAGGGATGGGACTCGCCTGGGCCTGATCCTGAGCCCTCTGAAAGGGCGGGGGAGCTTCCGTGCATTGTAAGGACCCCTCTCCAGCCCCCTCAGCTGTGCCAGCCGGGCTGCATCTGGGAGAGGACACACAGGGGATCCTGGTGGTCTCGTCCCTGGGAGCAGGCAAAAGCACATTTTTTGTCCTGTTGGGATTGGGATAATTGGGGCATTAACGGAAATGCATTTCTCACCTATTTTCTGTCTGATTGAAAACTTTGCAGTCATTTAGAGCTCTCACACCTCCTCTAATCAGAGCTCACTTCGCTCAGAGGCAGAAAACTGGGTCACATGTGGACTCCAAAGCCTCCCAGGATGCGACAAGCCAAAAGTGCAGCATCCCCCACCTCCTCTGCTCCCTGCCACCCCAGGACAGAACCACCCTACCCCAGCCCCTCAGTGAGCACACACTCTGTAGCGGGCTGAACTTGGAGTACCGACAGGATACCCTTTATTTTTCTCCCATCACTGCCTCCAATCAGCTTCCTCACATCTCCCTTTCTAGACTCCTAAAGCTCCATCTCAGGGAGACTCTGTGGCTTTCTGGTTACTTTTTCTTCTTTTAATAGAGACGGGGTTTTTCCATGTTGGCCAGGCTGGTCTCGAACTCCTGACCTCAAGTGATCCACCTGCCTTGGCCTCCCAAAGTGCTGGGATTACAGGGGTGAGCCACCACTGCACCTGGCCTGGTTACTTTTAATTCCAAGAATAAATCCCATTTGATAGTTATGACTCTTCTTCAGAGACCTAAAAGTCCAGTCAAGTCTATAATAAAACCTCAATCTCACAACCCACGTGCAGCTTCCCCTCCTCATCTTCAGGCTTTTCCAGGTCTGGGATCGCAGAAGATGGAACTCGGGGAGAGTCAGGTTGTTTTGCTCAGCAGGTGCTATATGTGAGGCTCTCTTGGCCAACCCTGGCAGTTACACCTCCTTTACTCCGGGGGGATTCTTTCATGGGCCCTAGAGTGAGCTCTCTGGAGACTTGCCCCACCCATCCATCCATGCAGAGACCTCTGCCCCAGGCCTTTCTGAGGGGGATATGGAGTTGTACTGCCCAGACCTCCTCATGGAAGCACCTATCGCCCAGCTACTGGGAGCACTGTCAGCACCAGGGACAGCCCAGGCCACACCCTTCCAATGGCATGACCACCAACAGGGGGCATCCCTGACAGGCAGTTTCAGCTCCAACTGAACCCCCCAGGGGCCTGCAGCACAACTCACCTTCTTCCTCCGCCTGATCCCGCTTCCTCCTCTTCCTCCCACAGGCATTGATCCTGGGGTACTCCCCTAATCTCCAACACAGAGCTGTCTCCAGGTCGCCTCCAAACACAGCCCCTTCCCTGACAAGCCTGAGCACTCTGCGCTGCCTCTCCTCACCTGCCTCAGCTCCTGCCCTGTGGCCCACCCCATCCAGCCTCCTACTGGGGGGACCCCTGAGCCCCATTAGGTGAGAGGGGTACCAGCAATGTTGGCTCAAGCCCAGCTCCCTTCACAGTGCCCACTGAGCCGCAGGAGCCTTGGGGGCCACCAGTTGCTAGCAGCATAACTTACCCAGCCATTGCCGCTCTCTCTTTGCCCTACCATACAGGCTGCTCCTCCAGCCTTCCACTTCCAGGCTTCTCCTGGAAGAAGCATGCTCCATTATCTACCTGCATGGTGATGCCCCAACCAAGTCACATGAGGCACCATCAGTGCTTTGCTCCCAAGAACTCTCTTGTTAAAGTCTGCTTTAGAGGTGGCACGGAGTAGGCTCACAGGTTTTCTGCAGCTCAGCAAGCCTTCAGCCAGATCATGAGACATCACCCTGCACCTGTGATAGGCTCCACACTCTACAAGCCAGCTGCCCTTCGCTTGACTTCCAAGCAGGGGAAAGCAGCTGTGGCTGTATATGATGTCTCACGAGTTGTGCCTGCACAAGAATTGGAAGAAGAGTGGCAGAGACCAGCCTCATGCCCCACCCCCACCCCCTGCCCTTGGTCATCTTGGGTTTTTTTACTTTTTAGTAAAGCATTTGCTTACTCCCCACTCTTTTGTTGGGGAGATGGTGGATTTTTCCATAGCAGCTTTGTGGGTGTTGAGAGGTGGCTGTGACAGTGGCCATGAGAGCCCCTCCATTGGGGTCAAGAAGCTGAAGGTCGCCCGCCCCCACAATCCCCCCGGAAGCCCTGTCTTCCTGATGGGGACCAAGGTAGCAGCAACCTAGGGCATCTGCAGGGACACTCTGGACCCTTCCAAGGATATGTAAACACCTAATATCCAGTAACAAATCCTTTTCCACCTAAAATAGCCAGAGTGGTTTCTGTTTCCTGCAACCAAGAGTCTGACTGGTGCAATACACCTTTTCAAAGTCTCTTACTTGGCCTGGAATGGGTGGCCACTGTTGGATTCATTTTGCTGTCCTTTATTAAGTCCTGTCTGGAGGTGACTAGCCCTTCTCTTACCAGCCCTTCTCATCCTCGGCTGTTCACATGCATTCCTAGGGACCCTTGTGAAAATGCAGGTGCTGATTCAGTAGACCCTGGGTGCGGCCTGAAAGTCTGCACCTCTAGCAAGTTCCAGGAAAGGCCTTTGCAGTAACCCTACCCTGGACCTGCCGAAAAGCACAGCATTAGACTGTGGACCCTGTCTCAGCCTCCAGGAGCTCACAGTGAGTTGGCTCCCTAACTGCACGCAGAGCTGGCTGGGCAGCGAGAACACGGGCCACCTGCCTTCTCTGCACCTTGTGACTGAAGGAGAAGTCCAGCCTCCCAGGCACAGGGCAGCAGTGCTTCCTGGGTGGGCTTGTGATTTCTCGAAGGACCAGCACCTCAGGAGCACCGAGGAGCATGGCAGTCACTGTGCTGGGGGCAGAGATGGGCAGGGACCAGGGAAGGAAGTCCTCTGAGGGTGGCAGCTGCTGGGCTAGGCCTTCTGTGGCAACAAGTGGGCGGAAGGCATGGCATGAATGATGCGCAGAAGGCCAAGAAACGCATTGGCTGTGTTCCAGGAGCCAGGAAACAGCCCTCCTGAGTGATCCGGGCAGGATGGGGCGGAGTCAGTGCAGGTGCGGGCTGAGGGGAAGGACTGGAAACAGGGCTGAGGCCAGGCAGTGAAGGGCCTGCAGAGGAGGCTGGGGCGTGCCTAAGGGTCCCGAGCAGGGCTGTGATCAGAGGCATGGCAACACTTGGAGAATGGAGAGTGGACAGCAGTGAGGAGTTGGTGGCCTGCAGAGAGTGGCCTGAGGGACAGAGGCACAGAATAAAAGGGCTCTGAGTTCATGTGTCCTCCCACCAGCCTAGCAATGGCAGCCAGGACTCATGGGCCTTATTAACTATATTTTATAAACTGATCCATTCACTCAGCCAGCTTTTGTGTTTTTTCAAAAGTTAGGGCACTAAATATGACAACAGAAAAGAATATGTTATCCATCCATTTAGATTATACCATAAACTTGTGCCTTTGCAGGGCACATTGAAAATATCCAGCGTGGCACTCAATATATGTGTTGAATGTGTCAAATGAATGAGTGAATTTATAAAACTAGAGCAAGTTGCCATGGGTGGGGGTCTTCCGGGTTGCCCTGGTCATAGGCTGTGGGGCTGGCTGGCAGCCTGTTCCTGTGGGACCACCCTCTCTACTCCAACACACCCAGCCCAGGTTTAGCAGAGTGGTCACTGATCACTAGAAATATATAGATCTTCTTACTGAATGTCTAATAAACAGCTCAACCCAACATGGCTAAATTGCAACTCTTGGTTTTCATCCCATCCCCAGAAAATCCTTCCTCTAACCCAGTCTGACCTAAGGTAACCACTTACTGTCAGGCCAACAGACTTTGCAGTCATTGACTCCTTTTCCTTACCCCTGTGCTGAGCTCATTGACTTGTCCAGTTGGCCCAACCTCCAATATATATCCCAATCTGACTGCTTCTCACCGTTTCTCCTTGTACCACCCTACTCTTGCCTGGCCCTTTGCCTTGGCCTCCTAACCACCTTATCCTCCAAGCACAGCTCCATTTTGCCCCCAACATCCAGAGTAATTTTTTTTTTTTTTTTTTTTGAGACAGAGTCTCCCTCCGTCACCCAGGCTGGAGTGCAGTGGCGTGATCTCGGCTCACTGCAACCTCTGCCTCCCAGGTTCAAGACATTCTCATGCCTCAGCCTGCCGAGTAGCTGGGATTACAGGCGCATGCCACCACGCCTGGCTAGGCTTTTTTGTATTTTTAGTAGAGACGAGGTTTTACCATGTTGGCCAGGCTGGTATCAAACTCCTGACTCAAGTGATCCGCCCACCTCACAGTATTATTTTTAAAGCACAAGTCAGATCATGTCACTCGTTAGTTTTCTTGTTTATGTTCTGTGTCTTTGGCTAGAATGTAACTCTATGAAGGCAGGATTTGTGGCTTTGTTGTAGCTGGAGCCTAGGAAAGTGCTGGGTAGGTGCTAAATGTGTGTTGATGGCCTCACTGAACAGGAGAGCCTATGGCGGTGGCTGGAGTGGGGGCCTCACCTCTAACCATGTCAGCTGCCCAGAGCTGTCCTGACCTGCCCCACAATGCAGAGGAGCAAAAGCCCAGCTCCAGATTCAGCCGTGTTCCAGAAAACGGCATGGCAACACTGGCATGCATTACAAAATGTGACTTTTAAGATGGTTTTCTAGACTGTTTCTGGAGAAACATCCCAAAACAGTAAGTGAACTCTGGATTAACAACAAGATGAATGACTAAAATGATACATGGGGTGGATTCTACAGTGTTATCTAGAACCCAAAACATTAACCGGGGTCTGATTGTGAAAGGACCATAGTTATATCTCCAAAATGTGACAAAATAATTTAGAAAAGTAGAGATATTTTTTCTTTTCAAAACATAGGTGCTTTAATAAACATGCATTGAATAAATTGCTTATATAACATAAAAAAAAAGATAATATGTCCCACATGTCATTCTGAGACACACTAGAATGGTTCCAGAAGCAGTATTCTGAAAAGGGGTCACTAAGAAATCCCGGCATTTCATCCACCTCAGGGTGTTACCATATATTCCTCTGGCTCCAAATTACTCAAATATTTACTTTATGGTTGTATTATTTTGAATGTATTGTTGAGAGCAGCATCTAATTCTTTGTGAAATGAGGCAGGAAACAGAAGGCAGACATAACAAATGAAATCAGCAGACTCAAATCACGGGGGATGTAGAAAACACGGAAGAAGGAGAATTTAGAGGAGGGGAGGAGAGAGATCACTGACTTCAGGTGCCAGCTACAGGCCCATTGTCCTGGTTTACATCTTCCTTTCTAGAAGGGAGGTTACAGGGGGTTCTCTGATAACTTATAAAATCTTTCGCTCTCCCAGCTCTTCAGATTAGGAGACACTTGCTGGGTGAACCGCCTGGCCATCGAGAGGTGGGAGATTCCATGGCCTTAGTAATGGTTGTGTCGCATCCCGCTGCCGTGGGGATGGAGATTAGCAAGCCCCAAGCATCCAGGACTCAGAGTTGCGGGAAGGGCCAGGCAGAAGGGCCCGCCGTGCGTCTCCTCCACCCAGTGGTCCCTGAGGTTGCTGGGTACACTTAATCCCACTGTCACCACGCACTCACCACAGGGGCACACAGGCAGCTCTCCCCTGCAAACAGCAGCTGGTCAGGGCTGGGCTCCACGGCTGCCCATCTGCCGCCCCCTCTCCTAGATGCGAGGATGTCTCTAAGACAGGCCTTATCCCTCGGAGCATCTCATTCAGTTCCTTCTGGTTTGGATCTGTGGCTCAGATGGGGATTTTCCCTCCTTCCCACATGGCTGGCCACCTGCATGCAGTGTGAGTTCCAGATAAACCGTCTGTCCTTCCCTACCCCATACCCTTCCCCAGTGCCTCATGTAGCAGGGTAAAGATGACTGAGCTGCAGACCTAAGTCTTTTTTTTTTTTTTTTTTTTTTGAGACGGAGTCTCGCTCTGTTGCCCAGGCAGGAGTGCAGTGGCGGGATCTCCACTCACTGTAAGCTCCACCTCCCGGGTTCATGCCATTCTCCTGCCTCAGCCTCCTGAGTAGCTGGGACTACAGGCACCTGCCACCACACCCGGCTAATTTTTTTTTTTTTTTTTTTGTATTTTTAGTAGAGACGAGGTTTCACCATGTTTGCCAGGATGGTCTCGATCTCCTGACCTCATGATCCGCCCACCTCAGCCTCCCAAAGTGCTGGGATTACAGGCATGAGCCACCACGCCTGGCCTGAAGTCTAAGTTTGAATTCTGGCTCCAGCTTTGTGACTTTCAGAAGATTACTTACTTTCTCTGTGCCTGAATTCCTTATCTGTAAGATGAAGACAGTAACAATAGGCATTTCAGAGAGTTGAGTGGATCATAATTGACACACACAAAGAATTTTAGCACAGTGTCTGGTTCAAGTGCCCAAGAAGTGCTCACTGTTTTTAGCTCCCCTGCACTCCCCCTGGATGGGGCTTATAGATGCCTGCTTTAACTCAGGGCCTTCAGCTCCTCTGTTTGCACTCTAAGGAGGCCCAAAGGAATAGCTTTAGAACCCTCTTCAGAAAGTGTCCTGAAAACTATGAACGGACCTTAAGGATCTAGCGGCAAGACTATAAAATGAAAGGCCTGCACGCTAACTGTGACCCTGTCAGTGACTCCCTTGTCCTTGTTCTCTTACTGGTTTCCCAGTCTATGCAGTGGGAATCCTTTTGCCTAACCCTCATCACTCCAGCAGTAGAATAATTTTTTATGCTGTTTCCAGATGTGATCTGGAAAACTCAACCTTGGTACTAAAATACTAGTATCTGGGGGCTGCTGCCCTACAAAGGGAGCTCCCCCAGGATATCTGTGTTGCACAGCTGGCTCCAGAAGTCTGGCACAGGTGGGCTGATTGGCAGAGCCTCAGCAGCAATGCCCCTGTGAGGGAGGCTGGCCTTTGCTTCCAGTTAGAACTCAGAAAGTGTAGGACCACACAAACCCAGAAAGAGGTTCAAATGCTATGGGAACCAATCAAATGACAACGTCACTCAAAGGGTCTGAAAAATAGAACCATGGGGGTGAGCCCACTGAAGTCACTGTATGGGTGAACCAAGGCCCTGGACTGGAAACTGCTGGGAGCCTGTGAATTAGGTGGCCTCGGAGACCTTGCAAGCACTACTTCAGTGTGAGGTTGCAGTGTAAGTCTGCCTGCAGTTCTGTGCTACCTGCAGCACTGAGTGGCCACAGCCCAGCCACTCTTTTGTATTTTCTGAGGAAGGTGTGGAGAGAACACAGCCCTCCACCGTCTTCCTCTGCACTTCCACCCCCAAGCCAGAATCCTGTTGTCCTGTGGCTCACACAATATAAAAAACACACACCTAGAAGGTGTCTGCAGGCTGAGACAGGCCGATGTTGCCAGCACAGCAGGAGAATTGAGAGGTGGTAGCTTCCTATTTTCACTTCATCAATAAGCAGCAGCTGGAATGGAAGCCAGACCAAAGGCTGTCATCTCCTATAGTCTCTCCAGAAATGGAAAAAGCTAGTACTTTCTCACCATGGGTAGAATGACTTGAAAATGCCAAATTAACCCTTCAAACATGCACTTGTGCCCAGCCTGACTGAAGGAGAGGCTCTCTGGAGAGGGCAGCCTAGCCTGGCACTTGACAAGTGCTTTCTGTTGTGGATGGCTCACTACATATTAGACCCTGGCCAGACATGAAGTCTCTCATTTCATCCTCAAAACCACACTCAGCAGTCAGTATTATTATGCCTGTTTACAGATGAAGAAACTGAGGCTGAGACAATACAGCAGGGTCAGAGAGCTGAGGAAGCATGGAGTCAGAATTCTAGAGACCAAATCTTAGGCAACTCACCAGCCTCCCTCCCTTGGTGAGTGTGATGAATTCTGTCCCTCCGGCACTCTCCCTCTCTCGCTCCTACTCCCCTCCCCTCTGCTTCATCTGGGCATTGGGTCACAGAACTCCTCTGCCTCAGGTTTGCAGGGGTCCTCGCCTCCTTCACTATCCAACCTGGCCCCAAAGACAGCATGTGCTCATGACAACAGCTCAGGCTTCAGAATCAGACTCGATTCAAATCCTGATTTTACATCCACCATGTGTGTTATTTAGGGCAAGTCTCTGAGCCTCAATGTTCTCATCTGAAAACAGGAATATTATTGTCTCCTTCACAGAGCTGTCGTTTAGATTGACGGAAATGTCTGACGACTCCCTAGGACAGGTGCCCAGAGAGGGCAGCAATGCAGGCACGTGACAGTTCTCAACAGAAGCTTCGGAAGCAGAGACCACGCAAGCTCAAATCCTAACTCTTCCACTCAGTAACTGAGGGCTGGTAACTGAGCGGTCCGGAAACACCTCTTGATTTACTTCATGGGGTTGCTGTGAGGATTTCAGCAGTTAATACAGTGAGAACACCATGCTTGGCACACAGTTACTGCTCAAAACACTCCCCTGGGTGACTCGGTGGCTCTCATGATACCAGTTGCATGCTCTGCCTCTGGCTCCTCAAGCTTGATCTCCAGTCTCAAGGTCTGGCTCTCCAGGTTCATTACCTGCCTCTCCCATGCATGTTCCCACTGGCTATCTTCTCATGAGCACCACAAACCGTGTCCGGCATCTCTCCTTCCCAACTGGCCTCTTCGTGGCTCCCCAGTCTTGGCTGGGCACCATCTTCCCCCACCTGCTGACTCATCCCTGACTTTGTCCTTCCCTTGGTCGCCCGTGTACAACTGCTCACTCTCTATATCATGCCCATCCATCGCATCCTCCCCATCCCTTGACCACTGCCAACCCACCAGCACTCCTGACCATCCACCCTGGGGCACAGGGCACTGAGGCCTGGTCAGGTGTAGAGGGGACGGTACCCTAGGCTGGGACAGGCCACGTGCGATAGTGCCCAGCACACTGAGAGCTCCGTCTGAGAGGCAGCAGCTTGGACGGAAGCTGAGATCTCTGCCAGCCAGGTTGTCCAACAATAGCTGTCCCTGATTGAGCACTGACTGTGCCAGCACTGTGCCAAGCCTCCGCTGATATTATCAAGTCCAGCTGCCAGTTATAAGAAGCTAGTGAGGGTGGGAGAAGCAGGAACAAAGTGGGCAGAGGAAGCAGTAAGAACGCAGGCTGAATGCAAACAGCAGAGGCCGAACTTAGGGCAGTTTCTGCACCTCTGAAAGTCTGTTCCTCCCTTTCATCAGGTCTCCCTTGCCTACAGGGTGGGAGGGAGGAGTTCAGGAGTCTCCTACGCATAGATGATTTACTTCCTATGTGACTGTAAAGGCCTCTTTTCTAGACCTCCCTGCTTCCTGCATCAAATCCATTCTGTAGCCAGGGTAATCTGAAAACACAAATCTGACAAATGGCTTCACCAATTAAACTCTTCAAGGACTCTCTAAACGCAAAAGCTCAGAAGGCTGACAAGGCTCTTCACGATCTGCTCCCCACTGCCTCCCTGGCCACCCCAATGGGGGCACTTAGCTTTAAGCAAGGTTTTGTTTGCTGGTCCCCAAGCATGCCAAACTCTGTCGTGCCTCCATGCGTCTGTACCTCACTGCCTCTGGCTGGAACACCCTTCTCTTCCCATTCCTCCACCTCTCCCCTGTTGTCATCAGGCTAACTCCTCTCATCCTTCAGAATTTTCACCTCAGGTGATATCTTTGCCAGAAGCCTTCCTCAACCCCCCAGTCTAGGTCAGATACCCAAGGTCTCTGTGCTCCCCCAAACCTTGTGCAACTGTCACCTAATTTCAGTGAATCCCCCCAGCCCATTTACTTGTCTGTCTCTGAACCTGGTCCATAAGCTCAGGGAGTCCAAAGACCACACTGTATTGATCTTTTTAGCCTAGTGCCTAGCTCAGGGCCAGATACTCAAAAGAAACTCAATAAATGTTTGTGGAATGAATGAATAAATACGAGGTGGCCCCTGCAGACACAGCCATGCTCACCATTGTGGCTAGAGAAGGACACAGGAATCTCACACTCAAACAGGGTTGAAGGAGTGAGGAGGGGACTGTGTAAGCTGGAGAGCACACATGCTCAGTCTAAAGGGGGCCCCGATTATTGGCATGTGGGACTGTTAGGCTTCCTGACAGCAACATGAAAAAGCAGGATATTCTTTAAAACTTCAAAACTGCAAACATACCAAATAAAGCATGTCAGTGTGCAGCACCTCATCTCAAGGCCTCCAGTTTGCAACCTCTGCAGAAGCACTTGGGAGGAACCAGCCTGGTCTGAAGTCTAGTCTCTGAGCAGCCATCTCTCAAACCTGGTGAGGAAGGCAAGTTCAGACTCACAGTGGTGGCTGCTTTGGATATCTGCCATCACACTCTCTCTTTCCAAGGGCCCTAGTTAGCCAGTTAGCCAGTCACCTAGGATGAGGCTGAAGCTCCCCTTGCTCCTCTTGCACAAGGTGGTGTGGTGTCAGGGCCTCCGATACCCGCCCTCCCTAGTCCATCCTGAAAGGCAGGCCTCCCAACTGGGGCTGAGGTCATTCCCTCTTCCTCAAAGTCTCTCAGCTGTACCTTAAAATCCCAGTGGACTTTTCCAGGCCATGTTGCTCTGTCTGTGTTATAGCTGGTCACATTCTGTCTGCTCTAATCATGAACCTGAAGGAGAGGAGTGGTGGAGCTCCTGAACCGCTAGTAGGCAGTTCAAGGATCAAGAGGTTCAGTACCACAGCTGGCAGGAATAACAAGTTCAGACCACCCTCTTCTGAAGAATTAGCCCCAGACCCAAGGACACCCCTGCCTCCACCCCAGGCTATGACAGCAGGTGAACTGGCCACCCCCTCGTCTGGAGAGAAAGGGCCCTAGAGCAATCATGTGAGTACTTCATGTTGCTAGGGAGCAACAGGCAGCAGCTGGCTGAGAAATAAGTCGTGTCCTTGGGAAAGCATGTTCCTGGCCACTAATTAAATGCTGCTGCACCATCTCCTCCTTCAGGGAGCTATAGAAATGTGCTGAATTAATGCAGATGGGAGCAGCTGGTTCACAAGCCTGCTAAGCCTCCTCCTGTCTCTGCGCAAAGGAAAGGCTCAGGGGGCAGGAATGAAATTGCTAAACCCCTGGGAGGCTGGTAAAGAAAATCTGGCCTCAGACTACTCAGTTCAACTAGCCCACAGAGTGTCTACCTAATACCACCTCTACTGCTGCAGGTGAATTCATCTGTTAAATACTTTTAAGAAAATCTCATTAAATGCCACTTCTGGGTATATGCCCAAAATAATTGAAAGCAGGCTCTCCAAGAGATAGTTACACATCTATTGTTCATCACAGCACTATTCACAAGAGCCAAGAGGTGGAAGCAACCCAAGTGTCTATTGATGGGTGAATGGATAAACAAAAGGTGGTATCTACCCACAATGGAGTATTATTCAGCCTTAAAAAGGAAGGAAATTCTGACACACGCTACAACATGCATGAACTTTGAAGACATGATGCTAAGTGAAATAAGCCAGTCACAAAAGGACAGATACTAGTGTTCCACTTATATGATTACTAGAGTAATCAAATTCATAGAGACAGAAAGTAGAATGGCGGCTGCCAGGGTCTGTGGGGAGGGAGAACAGGGAGTTGTTGTTTAATGCGTATGGAGTTTCAGCTTCGCAAGATGAAAGTTCTGGAGACTGGTTGCATAACCACCTGAATGTACTTAGCACTACTGAACTCGCAGTGGTATTACACTTGGAAATAGTTACAATGATAAATTTTATGTTTTTTTACTGCAATGAAAAAGATTTTCTTAATTCATGTTCACAGTGAAAAAAAATTACAAAGATAAAGGGAAATGTCTATCTTCCCTCACTTCCATGCCCACTTCCCAGAGAAAACCATTAATAGTCTTCTGCATCCTTTCAAAAGCATTCTATGACTCTACAAGCATGTATGTATTTATATGCAGACTGACTTTAAGTTCAGCACGGTTTAGTTTTTTCTTTACACGAAAAATAGCATCATGCTAAACACAGTTCAACTAATGTCTCAGAGAGCTTTCCAAATCAGTATGTACAAATTTGCCTCATTACTTCTAACAGCTCTATCAGATCCCATTGTATGGCTGTCTGACGATGTATGTAGTCTGTTTTCTACCGATGCACATTTAACAGTTCCCACTTTTTCATAAAAAGTTGCAATGAACATATGTCTTGTTCACATACACAAATGTTTTGCCCTGACACATTTATCATTTTTTTCTTCTGATACCTTTGGTATTGACACATAGAGTTAGAATTTAACTGGGTTAAAAGTTATATGCATTTTTTAACATATTGCTTTTTTGTCTTTCAAGAAATCTGAACCAACTTACTCTCCCACCAACAGTGGGTGAGCACCCTACATCCTTGTCAATACTAGGTCATCAAACATCTTTAACCCTTGCTAATCTGATGGGTGAAAAATAAATATTATAAACAATTGTCATGTGGTTGTTGACCATGTTTATTTATTTTTTTCTGGGAACACTCTGCTAATAACATAGTCCATTTTTTCTTTTGTAGTGTTCATATTTTTATTAGATATTTATAGGATGTTTTGTAGTAAGGAAATCAATCCTTTGCTAAAGGTGTTGTCGTTTGACTTTGTTTTGTTTTTGCTTTTTTGCCACGCATAAATTTTCATTTGTGGGATTTTTATGGGACTTTTCCCCCCTAGAAGGGGCTTTCTCACTGCAAAATTATAAACAGAAACCCAGAAGACAATGGCACCCCGGCTATCACAAGTCCATTTTGCATACTTGTTTTTCTCTGACCTTGGTCCCTGTTGCTTGCCTCTCCCTGAGTCCTTCCAGCATGAGAGACACAGAAATGTTCCTGCATCTGGCTCCAGATTTCTCCATTCTGCCTTTTTAGGAAACTCAATATTTTTCTAACATGTTTCTTAACCTTCTAAAATGTATCCCCTCATTTGATAACTAGGTAAACCTCATGTTCTTCTAAGATTTTGAGGGGATGTACCCCAGTTATGAATCACTGCCTTCTGCATAACCTCATCAGACAAGATTGCTTTTCAAACTCTCTGAGGTTTGTAATATGAAAATGTATGCATTTTGCATTTTCCCAATAAAATTCCCAATAAAAAATGTACTGAGGTTTTTTTGTTTGTTTGTTTGTTTGTTTTTTTGAGACAGAGTTTCACTTTTGTTGCCCAAGCTGGAGTGCAATGGCGCGATCTCAGCTCACTGCAACCTCTGCCTCCCAGGTTCAAGCAATTCTCCTGCCTTAGCCTCCCAAGTAGCTGGGATTATAGGCGTGTGCCACCACGCCCAGCTAATTTTTTGTACTTTTAGTACAAACGGGATTTCACCATGTTAGCCAGACTGGTCTTGAACTCCTGACCTCAGGTGATCTGCCCACCATGGCCTCCTAAAGTGCTAGGATTACAGGCATGAGCCACCACACCTGGCCTATTTTTTTTTTTTTTTCCCGAAGTATATCCCTTTCAGGATTCTGACATGGCTACTATATCAATCTCATGCTGAACCTACCCTGAGGGTTGACAATCACTTTTCAGATAAACATTTTTAAAAAATTGTTTTAGCCAGAATGACATTTAAAAGAGAAGATCTGAAAGGAAAACAAGCTAGAGTCCATTTGTTTTTGTTGTTGTTGCTTTTTATTTCAGCAGCTTTTGGGGTAGCAGTGGTTTTGGTTACATGCATGAACTGTGGTGAAGGCTGAGATTTTAGTGCATCTATCACTGGAGTAGTATACACTGTACACAATATGTAGATTTTTATCCCTCACCTCCTCTAATCCTGCCCCTTCCAAGTCCATCATATCACACTGAATGATAGAGGCAATTTATTTTGAGTAATACATCCCTCCTTAAGACAGATTTCAAACTTTGTAACCCCCAACAGAAACTTTTAAAGACTAGGGCAAATAACCCCCAACAGAAACTTTTAAAGACTAGGGCAAAGAGACTGAATCTAAAGATTACCTTTCATTCACTTTTTCATTCCGGTTCAGAATATTCCCATTCCCCAACTTCTCCTTTCTTTCAGTAGAAATATGGCCCCTCTCTATTCTTTCAACAATTAATTAAAACTAAGAGACAGTCTGTCTCTCTTTTTTTTTAGTCTCTTCTTCTCACTCTGGGAAGTTAATGACTACACTTAGAAGAGAAACAGTACTTGGAGACCAGATCTGGGGTCCCAGGAAGCAGAACAGGCTGGGCCAGGAAGAGCAGCTCAAGGTGCAGCAGTGTGGGGAGCCTTCGAGCTCCACTTCTGCTCACTAGAGTTAATGTGTGCTACTGCCAGGCAGCAACTGCTGACAACTCGCCTGGGGTGCTGCAAATGCTCCCTGCAGGAGGTGAAACTTCAGCATCAAAGAATTAATGAAACATTACATGGATAAGCAGTGAGCTTCCACAAAAAAGCCGCCCAACACTCAGCTTTCTTGTTAACTCCATACTCAAAGACTGGTTTCCTGGTTCCCTTACTGATGGTGGGACAGTTGAGAGAGAGGACAAGGCACCTCTTTCTAAGAGAGAGAGAGATCGGCATTCAGAGACATTACCAGACTAGAAAGGCAAAGGTTAGAGCTGTGATTTACACATTCTTCTATTCCTAGTCCCTGGCCCTTAGCAGGTCCTCAATAAATGTATAACATATGAATAAACACACAAGTCAACTAACACACTAGTGTTAAGAAGGAGAAAGAGGCCAGGGTCACACCTGTAATCCCAGCACTTTGGGAGGCCAAGGCAGGTGGATCACTTGAGGCTAGGAGTTGGAGACCAGCCTGGCCAGCATGGCAAAACCCAGTATCTACTAAAAATATAAAAATTAGCTGGGAGTGGTGGCACATGCCTGTAATCCCAGCTACTTGGGAGACTGGGGCATGAGAATCGCTTAAGTCTGGGAGGCGGCGGTTGCAAGAGCTGAGATCTCACCACTACACTCCAGCCTGGGCAACAAACTGAGACTCTGTCTCAAAAAAATAAAAAATAAAATAAAATAAATTTAAAGAAAAAAACAGGAGAAAGAGAAATTATGTGGGATATATTGTCAACCTTTAATAAAAAATACTTTGCTAAGCCATCCACCTACAAGGAAGAAGATGGATACAAAGACACAAAAATATCAAATTTCCCTATTAATATTTTTAGAAATCAGTAAAATAACCAGTTTAGACCTAAATAAATTCAGAGATTTAAATGAATTCTGACATAGGCCAGGTTAAAGTTTACTTGACATTAACCAGTAATGTTACTTTTAGCAAATTGCTTGATCTCTCTAAGGTCAGTTTCCTTATCTACAAAATAGGAATACTGCATTTTTCAGAGGATGCCATATTGCAAAAAGACACCTTTATTTATGTATGTGTTGGCTATATATTGCTACACAACAAATTACCTCCAAAATTCAGCAGCTTAAAGCATTTATTGGCCAGGCGCAGTGGCTCATGCTTGTAATCTCAGCACTTTGGAAGGCCAAGGTAGGAGAATCGCTTGAACCTAGGAGTTTGAGACCAGCCTGGACAACATAGGAAGGCCCTGTTTCTACAAAAAATTAAAAACAATTAGCCAGGCATGGTGACATGTACCTGTGGTCCCAACCACTCAGGAGGCTGAGACGGGAGGATCGTTTGAGCCCAGGAGGTCTACAGTGAGCCATGATCATGCCACCACACTCCAGCCTGGGCAACAGAAGGAGACCCTGTCTTAAAAAAAAAAAAATCATTTATTATCTTACACAATTTCTGAGAATCAATAATCTGGGAGTGGCTTAGCTGGGCAGTTCTGGCTCAGAGTTTCTCATGAGGTTGCTGTCATCTATAGGCTTGAATGAAGCGGGAGGACTGGATTCCAGGATATTTCATTCACATGGCTATCAGCAGGAAGCCTCAGTTCCTCAGCAAGGAGATCTCTCCAGGAGCTTGCCTGTGTGTTCTTGTGATATGGCGGCTGAATGATTCCAGGGGTGCGGGCGGGGTGCAAAAGCCTAGCCTTGAAATGTCTTTTATAAATAAGCCTTGAAAGTGGCACATCATCACTTCTACTGTGTTTTATTGGTCATGCCAATCAACCATGATACGATGTGGGAGGGCATGAATATAGAAGGTAGGGTCACTGTAGGCCATCTTAGAGGCTGACTACCACAATCTGTCACTCTAAGAACAAATTAAACCATGACAATGCTTATTGCTTGGAATCATTTTTATATTATATTAACCATGCCTTTTGTTTTCTGATGACTTGACATCTTGGGGCTGTACTGACCCTGGACTGCCCCTCCCAGAGTTTGCTAATTCCTGGAGATAGCAAACAACTTGCCTGAGAACACGTCTTTCATATGCAAACCAACCAATCCAGAGCCCACACCTCAAGCACCTTTTTATAGGGCTCTCACACTCAGCCCTAATCACCCCAGGGCCAGGTACCAGACAACCAGGGATAGCACCTAGACCCCAGGGCCCATCAAAATTCAAATTAGTCAATCCCAAACCTGCTTACCTGCTGTCTGGCACATTAATTTCTGCAGAAACCACAACACAGGCTCTTATCCATGTTTTCGCCTGTTCCCTCTGCCTCCTGACCAATCCAGGTGCTTACCCATGGCCCTGCATGCATACCACGCCTTCAATTTCTAGGGACCTATGCGTATAACAAATTTCTTTCTTCATGACAGTCATTTCGCGTGTGCCTTCCCATAGTTGATTAAGACAAATGCCAGTACCTTTAAGATATACGTATTCAAAAAGCGCTTTTGGCCTTTTTCAGATTTTGTTTCTTATTCGACTTAACCTCTAGTTTCACTTCTTTCTATATTGAATCACATGTCCCTGGAAATTAATCAGCTCCTGTTCAAAGTCAGCAGGAAGCATCTAACAAATCGATTCACATCTCAATGATTAGTCCTGTGCTCTGCATGAATTGGTGTCTCTCACTACATTAAAACTTCTTCCATTTATTCCAAAGGATGGGTCAACTTCTCCTTTAGTTGCGCCTTGTTTGCTGTTTGATAGGCAATCCTTTCGCATGAATCTCAGCATGTCAGTAAAACTTCATTTACTAGTGGGTATCTTTCTTTCTTAGTTCCAAAAAAACACCTCCTGCTTTGTAAAAAATCATGTTCATTCCTCCAATGGCAAATCTGTGCTTTACTAATATCAAATTAACCCCACTGCTCTGCCTTTCTGAGTATAAAACCACCTTTTATTATAATACCAAATCACAGTATAATGTTTTTGAAGGCATCTTAAAAAGCGCTTACACTGAACACATGTGGTTATCAACAATGCACATTACTCAACAAAAATGATGACAATGGGAAGAGCACACCCAGTTTGCACATCCACAGGCGACGAGAACAGCAATGTTGCAACTGCTGCCTTGCTGACACTGAGAAGACACCAACTTTAAGATACACTCCAGTTTCAAAAACTGCATCTCAAAATTCATGAAATGCAAATACTTTCCTATATAAGGTGCTTGGCATAGCATCTGGCCCATAGTAAGTAAGCTTTTAATAAATGTTAGCCATCAACAACACACCAATAACAAACCTTCAGCAAACAAAGCTCCCTTTAACCAATGTGTTTGGTGGCAAAGCAGGTTAGAGGTGTTCTGGTCTCCTCAGCCTTAGGTATGCATAGGTGATGCATGGCAAAAGAATGGCACCACCTCAACTGACATGGGTGGGCAGGGGTTGGGCCTAGAGAAGCGGCAAGCTTATGTCAGGTGGTCACTAGGAAATGAAGAGGTACAACCTGGGCTGGGAGCAGACTGTGACACTAAAGAGGCGGGAGACCCTCCCACACAGGCCAAGAGATTTACAGAGAGGGGAGAAGGCAGGGTGCATTTACTGGGCACTTATTGTATCAAGAGCTTTAATTAGTACTCACTTAGTGCTCACATCGACCCTGAAAAGTAGAAATTACCCCCGTTTTACAGAGGAGAAACAGACGTGCTAAAATTCTTATCATCATGCCCAGGGGTACATCATAGGTGACACAGCCAGGGTTTGCACCAGGCTTCACATGAAACTTATTCCCATAATTCTATCAGGCACCATGGATAAAGAATCCAAGTCCTACTAAGTATCTCCCTGCCTCCTACACTAGTAATCAAACATTGCCTGATAGGCAAAGACTTCAGAATTTTTTTTTTTTCAAGCAGAGGGTTATAGCTATAAAGGGTATATACTGAGCAGATAAATGCTGTAAACAAAATTGCCCTGTGGAACATCAAAATCACTTAATATGCTCAATTGCTTTCAAAGCATGCATTGCAGAGAACCGTTTATGCTGATTACCAATAATTATAATCTACTCATTAAGGAAAGTCCCTAAGGGCTTCTACAAAGGAACACTTCATGACTGAGTTTAAGTTACTCTGTGTACTTGAAAATAATGAAGCTACCATTCTTTTAAAAATTATCTAATTTAGGTTTTTCACTCATTTATACTGTGCTTCTCTGCAAGGGCTCCAAATGAAAGAGGTTTTGCTATCCTTAAATGGAGCCCTTCTCTCAAGGTCCAGAGCAGCTTGGCACTGATAGCTGACATGTCAGCTCCCTGCCAAGCAGGGATGGGAGGAGAGAGGTTCAGGGAAGAATCTGGATCTGAAAGTCTGTCCCTGCTTTTCTTATAATTTTGGTTCCAAAGAACTTGTTTCTCCAGATTCTTGAGATCCATCAGACATTTGTGGAGAGAAGACACTAGAATTGACTAAGAACTGCCTTAAATCCTTTAGGAATAAAACTAATATACAAAAAAACAAAGGCATTGATAACTTAATATAAGCCAAAGTACTCAATGAAGTGAGTGCTTCCCCTCTGCTCTCCTTCAGCTGTTGGAGTGCCCCAGTGCCTTGGATCCTCACCTCTTTTACTCTATATAGTCCATTCCCATGGCTTTAAATTCTAGCTATATGCTAATGTCTTTTAACATTATAAATCCAGACCTGACTCCTTTCTTGAGCTCTAAATTCATGCATCCCATGACTTAAAACATCCTCATCTGGATATCTAATAGGCATTTCAAAACTAGCATGTCTAAAACTACACTGATTTACACCCACCACCCACCCCACTAACGGGTCTTTCCTCCAAGACTTCTCATATAGCTTCAATATCTATCCATTTATTTGACTCCAAAACTTAGGAATTATTCTCAATTTCTCTTTTTTCCATCCCCCTCTGTTCTGTCCATCTCCCACACATCCGACTTCACTCTAGGGATGTCCCCTGAGCAGTCTAAACCAATCACGATAGTCCCATACTCTTTGCTAGTGATCAGAATCCTTGGCCAAAACTAGTCTGCATGGAATGTCATGTGTCTTAATTCAGGTCAATGGTACAATGAGGTAAAGATTTCTGGGAACATTTCTTTTTTGAGGATGTCAGTGAAGTAACATGTATCCCACATTTCCACTATCCAGTGCCCTATGAGCGTACTCAAAAAGAATCCACCTTAGGATGAAGCTGATTTTCTGGATGCAGGGAAGAGGAGGAAAGAACTTGGCTCATAGATGACATGGCTGATTACCTAGAACAGGGGTCCCTGATCCCTGGGCCATGGACCAATACCTGTCCACGGACTGTTAGGAACCAGGCCGCACAGCAGGAGGTGAGTGGTGGGCAAGTGAGCGAAGCTTCATCTCTATTTACAGCTGCTTGCATTACTACCTGAGCTCCACCTCCCGTCAGATTAGCGGCGGCATTAGATTCTCATAAGAGCGCAAACCGTATTGTGAACTGTGTATGCAAGGGATCTAGGTTGTGCGCTCCTTATGAGAATCTAATGCCTGATGATCTGTCACTGTTTCCCAACACCCCCAGATGGGAATGTCTAGTTGCAGGAAAACAAGCTCAGGGCTCCCACTGATTCTACATTATGGTGAGCTGTATAATTATTTCATTATATATTACAGTGTAATAATAATAGAAATATGGTGCAGAATAAATGTAATGCACTTGAATCAGCCCAAGCCATTCCCCTGTGCCCAACCTGTGGAAAAATTGTCTTCCATAAAACCAGTTCCTTGTGCCAAAAATGTTGGGGACTGCTGACCTAGAGCATATAACCCTGAAATTCACTCTACATCTGGATTTCCAATTCTGTGAGACAATAAATTTCCTTATTGTTTAAGCCAGAAATTTTGGGTCTTCTGTTTTTGCAGCTGAAAGCAACTTAATAGATGCAAACAAGGGGAAGCCAACAAAGAGGACCAAGAAGCAACAATCATTAAGGCAGGAAAAAAAACATATACTGTCCTAGAAACAAGAGAACCAAGTATTTCTTGGTATAGAGACAAATCAGCTATGTCCAATATTGGGAGGTTGAGGAAAAGAAGGACTAGAGGTGACCACTGTATTGGCAACATGAAATCACTGGTGACCTGGACAACTGCAGTTTCAGAGGAGGGGTGGAGACAGAGACTTCTTTGGAGTGGGTTGAGGAAATGGGCCACAGGGAAGTGAAATCATTTAATTTAGACAACTCTTTTGAGAAGTTTTGCTATGAAGGGTAGCAGAGAAATGAGCAGTAATAAAAGAGAATAAGGGGTCAAAGCAGGACTTTTTAAAGACCAAAGATCTTCTAGCAACAAAAATGATTTATCAAGAGAAATATGATGCAAGATAGATAAAATAATTGCAGGAACAAAGACCAGGGTCTTTTGAAAAGCCACAAGGAGACAGGATCCAGTGGACAGGTAGAGGGGCTTGCCTTTTAGAGAAGCAGGGATTATTCCATTTGCTGCAATAGGAGGTAAGGCAGGGAACAAGTACAGATGCAAGTCATAGCTAACATGGTAAAGAAAGGCGAGTTCCCACCTGATTCTATTTCTGCCAAGTGGCAAGATGACCAGCTGAGATACTGGAGGAGTTTTTTAATGTGTTTTTAATAAAAAGGGTGTCGCTCTGTTGCCCAGGCTGGAGTAGTGAGGCTCACTGGAACCTTGAATTCCTGGGTTCAAGCAATCCTCCCACCTTGGCCTCCCAAAGCACTGAGATTATAGGTCTGAGCCACCAAGCCTGGCCTACTGAAGGAGGGGTTTTGAAGTGAGAGGCAAAGGTGCAAAACAGCAATTTCAGAGAGTTGGAAAGTAAACAAATAAGGAAAGTCTTACAATGTTGAAAGGATTGCTCAGCGATCTTGAGTGCCCATTTTAAGTCTGTGGTCATGAATTTAAGAATAGACATGGTTTTTCTGCAGCTATTTTCAGCTGTTCAGAGACAGACATGTACAGAGTTGAGAGTTTTCCAAATTTGCATGAAGGAGGCAGAACAGCAAGGAAGTTAAGGGAGTGATTATCGTGTTAGATCATGCAACCTAGGCTGAATAACGAAAGACGAGAGGATCTGAGGGTAGGTGACAGCTATGAAGATGCTGGTATCCCAGCAAAGGCTAGTGGTCCACCAAAACTCATTCTCTTTTCTTCTGAATGCAAGAGTACACAGGACACAGCTGGCCAGGCACACTACATTTCCCAAGCTCCCTTGCTTGTTAAGTGGCCATATGGTGAGGACCTCTCCAACGGAACATGAAGGGGAGTGATGTGTGATCCTAATGGAGAGTCTCCTCCACACTCATCCTCTCCCTATCTCAATCCAAGACAATACCACAGTGAATGGCAAAGAAACAAGATGGAAGACACTTGGGTCCTTCAGGCTGTGTGTGGCAGAACCACTCACTGATGCTGAACATCTGCCTTGCACTGTGACCTGAGAGAGAAAAAAACTCCTCTCTTGTTTAATCACTGCATGTGGGGTCTTTTAGCTATAGCAGTTTATCCTTATCCTAACCTGAGTCAGGGATTGGAGGCTTCAGTGGGGTCTAAGATCCTCTGTAGTGGAGGTAGTAAAGAGAGTGAGGTGAAAGGCTAAAAGGTAGTGGTCAGAGTGGGGTGTATGGATTATGAAATTGAAACTTCAGAGGTGGGCAGTTTGAGGTGATAAAAAGATCTAAGATAGGATCAATGGAATGTATGACTAAGGTGGAGGAAAGTGCAAATTAAGTTTCAGAAAAGATAGAAGATTGGCCTAGGATCACACATGAATGAGCAGAAGGGCCCAGATTCCCATTGGGACCTGAGTGACTTCACACTCCATGCTCTTTCCACTCTGCCAGGTCCTCAGGTTCAATCAAACCACCTGGTTCAAAGAAAAAGCTGCAGATAAAGTGTTTCTATGAAGAAAGGTTAGTTCAGCCCCACGAACATGTAACACAACTTCTCCTGGGTAATGGGTAGTACACTACAAGAACACAATTATACCCAGTATCTGACTTAATAATGGCTCAACTCAGGATTTACTGACTTACAAGACTGCAAAAGCAATACATATTGAGTAAAGTCCTTAAGATGGGATTATGCCCAGGTAAACCCGTCATCAGATATCTTCAACTTACAATGGGTTTATCTGGCCGTAACTCCCTCGTAAGTTGAGAAGCAACTGTATTGTTTGTTTGGTTGTTGTTGTTTTGTTTTTTTTTTTGTTTTTTTTTTTTTGAGACAGAGTCTGGCTCTGTCCCCCAGGCTGGCTGGAGTGCAGTGGCGCAATCTCGGCTCACTCACTCAAGCCCCACCTCCCGGGTTCACGCCATTCTCCTGCCTCAGCCTCCAAAGTAGCTGGGACTACTGGCGCCCGCCACCACGTCCCGCTAATTTTTTTATTTATAGTAGAGACAGGGTTTCACCGTGTTAGCCAGGAAGGTCTTGATCTCCTGATCTCGTGATCCGCCCGCCTCAGCCTCCCAAAGTGCTGGGATTACAGGCATGAGCCACCACGCCTGGCTGAGCATTTGTATTGTTAATACATAATTAGAATCATCATGCTTTGCAACCCTACATTTTTCATGATCTACTAAGTATTTCATCCATCCAGGGGCCCAGTGGCAGCATTCACACCCTCCTGTTCTCCTTTGGATGACCACCACGGACTCACCTGGCCTCTCCCTCTACTCTCTATTCCCTCCAAGCCATCTTCTAGACTGCTGAAAGTTACCTTGTGAAATTCGTATTATGTCTTCTACTACATAAAACCCTAGCAACCTGCACAAGACCTCTCTTCCCAATATCCCCTCAGTCTACCTGTTCAGTCACATTTCCCATCTCCCTCACCCCAGTGTATGCTGCAGCTGTATTTGCTTATTTACCATTTTCATACTTCCATGCCTTTGTATATGCTGGGCCTCTCCTTGAAACATCTTCAACTCTTGGTCATACAACACATTCCCATTGATCCAACTCCAGTGCTCTTCCACAGTATATTTTTCTTTTTCTGCCCTTCCTTCATCTGTCTCCACTGTCCCTAGAGAGACACAATGAGAGCTGTTATTGTACTGTATTATAATAATCTGTCTATTTCTCTCCTCATCCTTGGCATCCTGACATAGTTTCCACTTGACTCATAGCAGGTGCTCAAATCCTGCACTGAATGCTGAAGGAGACTGAATTTAGCTACTCCATTTTGATCACACTGAAATTAGATGAACTGTTTTTGGTGGGACTCAGGATTTCATATCACATTTCTTATTTTCCCAAAGAAAGTCAGTCTGGATGGCAGAGGAAATACAGGGTCCAGCTGTTTGCATCCATGGCCCCTTTCACAGTCTGCTCTGGAACCCAACATTTCAAAGCTACCTTCAAAGTCAGATGTTACTAAACAAGCCTACTACACTACTGGCGGATACATTATGCAGATGAAACATAAACAGGCTGGCAAGAGTTGAGAATGTGACAGAGGATGTGGCTGGGGCCACCAGGTATTTGCGGGATGGCTGTGATGGCTCAGCCATCCAGGAACAGCCAGTCTGGTCTCTGTAGGGACACCTGCGGCTTGCCAGCTCCCACTACCCAAATTACAGTACGTGCTACACAGTATTTGTTTCTGCTGTGGCCAAGGAGAGCTGCTCACTCTTCCACCTGCATGACACAGATGGTACAGATGGGAGCATGCTTCCACATGAGGATGTGCAATTACACCCAGTTCCTCCAGCTGTGACAATTACCAAGCAAAAACCCGAGGGAAGGAAACAATCCTGGCAGATAACTGTCTTCCCTGTTGGCACTTACCACTTAGTTCTCCCAGGAACAGCTGCTGCATCCATGGCCTCTCATCTCTTTCACAGTCCTTCCTGGAACCCAAGTACTTGAAAGCATTGAGTATGATAGGAACATAAAGCAGTCATCCAACCACATATATTTAAGTATGAAAATACCATGGCTTTATTTTTCTCTTAAAAAGATAGCCGTGCTTATGAGCTAAATGGAAAGGATGTATGTCATTCTCATCAGTAAACAAGATTTAACTGCTTTCAGATGCAAACCATAATGCCGAAGAAGTGACATGAAGGGGATAAAAGTCTAATGCTTTCATCTTCACAGCAATCAAATGCAAAGTAAAGCAAAAATGAAATGGACTTAATTAATGCTGGGCATTCCCACAGGGAAAACGCAAGAGGATATTATAACAATCAGTAGCAGTATTGTATACAATTTAAAAATTCCATTAGGTTGAGCCACCCTCACTCCTCTCTCTGGCTCTCTCCCATCTGAGGTATAGCAGGCTGGAACTAACAGAGCTAGTAGTCGGGAGCTTTTGCTTTGGAGTCCACTGAGATAAGTGAGTGGCAAAGTCTTGGAAGACCAGATAATCTGGCTCTGGTGAGGCACCTACGTGCAGCAGTGTCGCATATGGAAGTTGACAACATACTCAGCATTAGTCCTCTGCACAGAAATAGCGAAAGGCTCAAAAGGGTGAAAGGTGAAGGCAACAAGGCGTCGCACTGTGTGGTTGATGGGGCGGCCCAATAACCCCGCCTGGATCTCAAACTTGAGCAGGCCCGAGTCCCGGGCATAGAACCTAAAAAGAACAAGGACAGAGACAGAGAAAGAGGGGACAGGATTGATATTCACCATCGAACTGAAATCTAGACAGCAGGGGAATGTGGCAACTCATTATTTTACCTTATTAATGAAATCGCCTCTTATATCAGCCCCAGGTTATCAGAAGTATAAAATCACCCTGGAATGACCAGCTCATTTAGTGAAGAGTGATTATAAATTTTACTATGTTGCACTGAGTCACTGGTCATTTCTCTTTCCTGAGATGACTCAGTTTTACAGCCTTAATTATAGCCTCTCCGCTTCCAGACGTTCCTGCCTCAAGGTTGTCTAGGCCAGGGCTAAAAATGAAATGCAAGCCACGTGTGTAATTTTAAATTTTCAGGTAGCCATATTAAAAAAATAAAAATAAAAAGGGGAAATTTTAATAATACATTTCATTTACTCCAATATATCTAAAATATTATTTCAACCTATAATCAATATCAAACTATTAGTGAGTTTTTTTTTTTTTTTTTTTGGAAATCTGTTATGTATTTGACACTTGAGCACATCTCAACTTGAACTAGCCACATTTTAAGTACCCAATTGCCACATGTGGCTAGTGTCTACCATATTGGACAGTGTGGATCTAGGCTCACCTTTGAGTTTTTCATATTTAAGAATAAATTCTTTTTTTTTTTTTTTTTTTTTTTTGAGACGGAGTCTCGCTCTGTCGCCCAGGCTGGAGTGCAGTGGCGCGATCTCGGCTCACTGCAAGCTCCGCCTCCCGGGTTCACGCCATTCTCCTGCCTCAGCCTCCCGAGTAGCTGGGACTACAGGCGCCCGCTACCACGCCCGGCTAATTTTTTGTATTTTTAGTAGAGACGGGGTTTCACCGTGTTAGCCAGGATGGTCTCGATCTCCTGACCTCGTGATCCGCCCGCCTCGGCCTCCCAAAGTGCTGGGATTACAGGCGTGAGCCACCGCGCCCGGCCAGAATAAATTCTTTTAAAAGGTTCTTTTTCATGCACAGAAACAAAATACTAAGTAGTGTTTAATTTTTCTTCTAATATGTGAGACTAAAGATGCTTCCATCCCTCCTAGTATTTAAATGCCTTTGCCATATGCAAAATAAATGTCCTGTGGTTTGGGGAACTACAGATGATTAGTGAGTGGAGGCTGAATGGCTGAGGCAGGTCGGGGTGGGGTGGCAGGGAGGATTCCAGAAAATAAAAAGCCCTGAATTAAAAAGTCCTATAATCTCCTTTTGGAAATTCAATATATAAGCAGACCTAAAGATATTTATACCTTTTGACTCAATAATCTCATATCCAAGAATTTATATCCTCAGAATTTGATTTAAGTGAAATAACTAGTACATGAATAAAGATGACTACTATGGCATTTGTTTTAATGTAAAAATGTAGAAAGAGAATAAATGCTCAGTGATGGGGGAATAGTTAAATAAATCATGGTACATCTATTTGATAGAATAATACGCCTTCATTAGGACTGTAATTGTGAGGACTATGTATAATAACATGAAATAACGTTTATAAAATAAAAACAGACTACAAAAAATGATGCTAACCGTGATTACAACTGTGTAAATGTAAATATGCATATTGACAAAGACTAGACTGGATTATACAATACAGATATTGCAGGAATGGCATTCTCTCTTCAAATGCTGTTAATATCCTTATATTTCTCATTTTAAATTAAAAATATAAAGAAGAATTATAAGAGAAACCCCTTTATTCAGGAGCAATACCATTTCCAAATTTTAGATTCATCTTCTCCAATTAGAAAGGTAGGAAAGTCAGAAAGGAGAGAGAAATGTATCTCATGGTACTTGACTCATATCAGATAAGGCCCATCTTTTTTATGTATAAAAAACACATAGCCTTACTCCCACAATCCCCAAACACAAAGGGATTATAATTTAAAATGGGTTGTTTGACCTTCTAAATCTCATTCCCGCTTTACAGGACATATGGGTAAATAAGAAATACAGTAAATACTATCCCAGGGATGTAACAAGCAAAGTCTAGAATTTGGAGAATGCTAGAGGAAAAACAACCTGGTTTCCTCAATAATTTCATTGCAAAGAAAATAAAAGGGGAAAGAAGAACCTACAGAATAAAAATGACTGGCCAGGCACGGTGGCTCAAGCCTGTAATCCCAGCACTTTGGGAGGCTGAGGTGGGTGGATCACCTGAGGTCAAGATTTCGAGGCCAGCCTGGCCAACATGGTGAAACCCCGTCTCTACAAAAATACAAAAATTAGCCAGGTGTGGTGGTGGGCGCCTGTAATCCCAGCTACTTGGGAAGCTGAGGCAGGAGAATTGCTTGATCCTGGGAGGCAGAGGTTGCAGTGAGTCGAGATCGTGCCATTGCACTCGAGCCTGGGCAACAGACAGAGACTCCGTCTTATAAAAAAAAAAAAAAAAAAAAAAAAAAAAGACCGAAGGGACCAAATGCAATGCATGAACCTTGTTTGAATCTGATGCAAACAAATTAACTATAAAAAGAATATTTATAAGACAACAGGGATACATAAAAACTGACTAGATATTTGAAGATATTAAAGATTTTTTGTTAATTTTTTAAAGATGGGGTAATGGTGTTACTTGTTTTGCTAGGATAGCTTGGATTTCCTTTAAAATAACCCAGGACAGTGGTGGGAAGGGGAGGGAGTAGGGGTCGTGATGGAAATAGCTGAAACAGGAGTGGCCACGAGCTGGTAACTGTTGAAGTGGGTGATGGGTACATGAAGGTTTATTATGCTCTTCTACTTTTTGTATACGTTTAAAACTTTCCATAATAAAAAAAATATTAACTAGTTTTTGGAACTTGACTCTAATTTCCCAAAGGAAATATTATAAATGGTGATTAATTATACAGACTATGTCACACAGGCACATTTAATACACAATGAGACTGGATGATGAAATATATCTATCATAAAGATCTAACTACCACTGTTTCTGTGTGAAAAAGACCTTCCAAGCTCCAGCCTATAGCCTCAGGAACACACCCCCCTTGAGATAACTCCACTAGTGACAATAATTCCAGCTCCTCCCCCTAATATTATTACAGCACACAGAACAGGCTCCATATATGTAGTGACAGTTGGGTCTGTGAACTAGACTTCTGTGAGGAAAGAATTTCTTGTAAGACGTCAGTTTCAAACTTCTAACAATAACACAGTAGTCTACATTCCAAAATTCCTCCAAGTGAGGAAGCATGAGTTTCTTCTAAATCTGTCAGCAGGTCCCCAAATTGTCTCTGCTATTTTTTCTATGAGGTAACATGGCGGGATAAAATAATTTGTGTTAGATACATAATTATAAAGTCTCAATGTCAAAAACTATTATGGAATGGTATTAGATTATTAAATGGGAAAGTACAGCTTCCTCCCCTGGATACCTTTAAAAGAGGACAACACTTATCTGAATTAGATGTTCTGATGAGAAGCAAAGAGTAGGAATAATTTAGGAGACTAGCACCTAAATGATCACAGCTCTCACTGCATTATAGAAATAGCCTGCCTTTTCAACCTTACCCATGAGTACGAGTCACAGTCACAATCAAATGATGTCCAGAAAAAGAGAAAAAGAAAGCAGGCCATCTTCAGCCCTTGAGCAGTTTGTAGCTATAGCAGTGACACTGTACCTGATTGGGTGATCTCCACAAGTCTTGGGCCGCTCCATGACAGATACCCACTTGTCATCATAACTGAAGAGAGACAAATCCAGATAGGGGCTACCGCTGTAAGACTGAGCACTGATGGGGAGCTGACCCAGCAGCCGGCGTACTGCCTCTGTGTGCCCTCCATACTTGGCATTTATAATAGTGTCTTTGAACCTAAATGAAAGGACCGGTGAGGAAGGCTTTGTTAGTGAGTACACAAAGCTGTCTTGAATTTTAAATTGACAAATATATGTCTAAGAACAACTCATTCTTTAAATACAAATTAAAACCTAGGTAATGAATTAAGATAGAACTGTCTCTCACACATTACAAGTCTGGCCAGCTACAAATACTTTTAAAAAGCAAAACATATAACTAAAAATGGAAAACAACAAATTACTTTAGAAATGTGTTTGGGTTTTGGGTTTTTTTTTTTTTTTTTTTGAGACAGGGTCTCGCTTTGTTGCCCAGGCTGGAGTACAGTGGTGTGATCTCAGCTCACTGCAGCCTTGACCTCCCAGGCTCAAGTGTTCCTCCCACCTCAGCCCCCAGAGTAGGTGGGACTACAGGCACGTGCCACCACACCCAGCTAATTTTTGTATTTTTTATAGAGATGGGATTTTGCCATGTTGCTCAGGCTGGTCTTGAACTCCTGGGTTCAACTGATCTGCCCGCCTTGGCCTCCCAAAATGCTAGGATTACAGATATGAGCCACCACACCCGGCCCTACTTTAGAAAAGTTAACAAAGACTCTACAAACAAGTTTAAAATGAGTATAACTAGTTTATGGCAACTATTTCTACTCTTTTCTAATAACAGCTCAACTGGGGAAAAAGGTCAAGAACTTATTTTCCCCAAATAATTGCCTTAGACTGAATTAGGAAGGAGTTACAGAGAACCCTGAACAGAAGCAGCCTCTGACTCTTCTTGGGATCACCAACTTCTAGCAAGCCTTTCACAAATAAATTACGCATTCTTTGTTTGTTTAAATAAAATTTGGAAACTAGCTACCTATATTCCTGCAGAGACACCAGTATCTAGAAGAATAGTAACATACATAGAGTCATATATCTGACTTATCTTTGAAAATAATAACAGAACAGTTATTTCTCATCACTGTCACAAATGCTAAATTTTATTTTATTTTTATTTTTTGAGACAGGGTCTCACTGTGTTGCCCAGGCTGGAGGGCAGTGGCACAACCCCAGCTTACTGCAACCTCCACCTCTCCTGGGCTCAAGCAATCCTCCTACCTCAGCTTCCCAAGTAGCCAGGACGACAGGTGCGTGCCACCACACCCAGCTAATTTTTTTTTTTTTTTTTGTAGAGACAGGGTCTCGCCATGTTGCCCAGACTGGTCTTCAACTCCTGGCCTCAAGCGATCCACCCACCTCAGCCTTCCAAAGTGCTGGGATTACAGGCATGAGACACAGTGCCTGGCCACAAAACTAAATTTAATACTCTTTGACAAGTACTTCTATTCTTCTGGAAATTTACCCTAAGGAATCACTCCTACATGCAGAAAAATCTCTGTGTACATTCATACAGCATTGTTTATAGAGGAAGAAAAAATTAAAAAGCTAATGGAAAACTACCATTTTCAAAGATTATATGGTAACAGGGGAAATGTTTATCACATTTACAAATAAAAGAAGTAGGATACAATACTGTCTATATAATATGGCTAAAAACACAAAGAAAACAAAAACTCACACTTAAAGCAAAGACTGGCAGAAACACATTAAAATGTTAATAGTTGTATAATGACATTTTGAATTTTTTCCTTATTTTTCACTATCCTACAGCTTCTTAGAAAGAATGTCAACTGTCTATCAGTATATATTTTTTAAACCTCTATATTCAAGCATATCATATGGTTCAACAATCAAGGGGATATCAATTTTTTTTAGTCTGGGAGAAAAGTATAATATCTCATCCCTGAAACAAATGGAATAAAAAACTTCAGTGTTCCTAACTTTCATGAGACCACAAAGATTAATTAGTTGGGGGTAATTTTTATTTTCACTATTAACCTATGGTATTAGATGGACATGAACACTTTTCTGCTCCCCCTAAAGAAAGCCTAGCAAGCAACACTGCTTTTCCATTACTCCTACTGACAGTAATTTTCACAGCCTCAGTATAAATCATAAAAATAAATCTTGGGCCAAATAGAGCTTATTTTTTCCCTTTCATTTGAGCTGAAATAAAAGATCCTGGGCACTTCGGTTTTCAGCAAGACCTGGCACCATCTCATCTACACCTTAGCCCTGCCTGACTCACCGACTCCCTGGCTTTCAAAGGTAAAATGATGGGGGCTGGCTCACAGCTTTGTGATGACCACAAATCAAAGCATCTGTGATAATCTACAAGTTGAAACAGTTCCTCTTCCTCCACAGCACCTACCACCTCCACTCTCCATGCTCCCCACTGATTAAAAGCAGTCACTCTCTTCGATGTCTTCACACTTTAGTTCCTGCCCCAGTGTCACTCTGTCCAGCTATACCTCTCTTAGTTCTCGGTAATTTCAAAATCCTCAGAAAGGTTCTTTACAGCACCATAGCCTCCTGCTAGTTCCTTGACCTCCTCTCAACCTCAACTGCTTATTCCACAGTCACACCCTCAACCTCACCATTACCAACGACTGCAAACCCTCTCTAGTCACAGGGTAGACCGTCACGCTCTCCAACCATCTTCTCTCCCATCTTTCCAGCTCACTCCCTCTATTCATCCCAACTTCAGCAATCCTTTAACCCCCACAGGACCTATAATCCACTGATTCTACCAACTTCTTCCCATCCTACACTCATCATATCCTCTCTTCCTTCCTTCCACATAGATGAAATTACTAAATCACTCCGTTGCACACATCCTCAACAATCTTAAATTCTCTTGCTTTGTGGTACTTGCTTAGAAAAACTACAGCCTCCAGTTAAGCTCAACTCTTCCTATTCCGTGCCTGTACTACTTGGTTTTCTCCATGGCTGTAGAAAAAACATACAATGCTCACTTTAAACTTATGGCCATGAACTTTATGTGGGCCCTTAATGCTGCAGGGCACTCATGCTGCATTTCCATAGTCCTTCCAGACTCCCATGCTCTTTCATGACTATTTCATCTCCCCTCCTCCATGCTCACTCTTAGCCAATGGCATCGCTTACTTTGTTACTAACAAATGGAAGTTAGCAGAAGATAACTTTTTTAAAGCCCCCATCAGCACATCTACCCAACATTTGTACATATATAACTTTCTGCGCTCCCATGCAAGGCAAATCCCTCTGCCAGTGCACTAGCACCCAACCCCTCTCATACACTTAAGCAGTTCTTCCACTTTCCTAAACTGTTTCCCCTTCTCTACAGGATCAGTCCCATCTGTATGCAAACATGCCATTTTTTCCCTCTCATCTAAAAAATAACAAAAACAAAATCTAACACTACCTACCCCTCCAGCTAATGCACCACTTTTCAGCTCCCATTGTAATAAAACTCCTCAAAACTCTTTTCCATACTGTCCAACTTTTCTCCTCCCATTCTTTCTTAAACCCACCCTAAAGAGGCTTTCACCCCTACTATCTCACTCAAACTACTCTTGTCAAGGTCACCAATGACCTGCACATTGCTAACTCCAATAAGTTAATTTTCAGTCCCTATTGTACTTGACTCGTCAGGTGGCTGTGACACAGCTAACACTCCTTTGAGAAACTATGAGATATCTCTACTTACAGAACTTTTGATCTTCTCCCCTAAACCTGCTCTACCCACAGGTTTACAGTTTAATGGCAACTCTCTCTTGCAAGCTGTTCAATCCAGAAACATTAGAATTATCTTTGACTTTGTTCTTTCATGGCCCATAGACCATCCTCCATTAATCAATTGGGCTCTAACCTGCAAAATACATTGAAAATATAATTACTTACTATTCCCAATGCTACCACTCTGATCCAAGCCACCACTGTTAAACAACAAATAATCAATCACAGAGGACTTGGTATGTGCCAGACACTCTTCTAGGTGCTTAGGATACATCAGTTGACAGTAAAGAACTTAAATCCTAGTGGCAGGAAACAGAATGCCATAGCTATTACTTACTGGATCACTGCAATAGTCTCTTAACTGGTATCCCTGCTGCCACCCTACCTGCCTACATTCTACTCTTAACAGAACAGCCAGAGTGACTCTGTTAAAACATAAGTGAGACTACATCACTCCTCTGCTCAAACATGACACAATCTACCTCATCTATAGTTAAAGCCAAAGCCATAGAATGGCCTTATGTATCTGCCTACCTCCCCACCCCAAATCAGGTCTCTGACCCTATTTCCAAGTACTCTGCCCCTCGCTCACTCCAGTCCAGCCACCCTGGCCTTCTTGTTGTCCCTCAAATGCATCAGATCTACCTCAGGGCCTTTAGATATGCTATTCCTTTTGCTGGGTATATTCTTCTTCCTGCTATCCACATGGCTTGCTCCCTGACTTCCTTCAAAAGCTTTCTCAACCACCACCTCCTCAGTGAAGCCTATGCTGACAACTCTACTAGGAAAACTGGCAATCTCTTCTTAATATACTCAAACCTACCAGTATTCTAACAATTTTGTTTTTTCCTTGGACACACTTTTCTTGGACTCCTCCACTTTCGTGCTTCCAAATGGTCTGACAGGTGGACAGTCATTCTGCAAATTCCCTTTATCATTATCCTCAAGACTCTCTTTGCCTCTCTCCAGTGTCAGACTATTTCCTACATACCATTCTTTTGTGGTCTATTGAAGTACATCTCCATAGGCTTCCTTAGAAAAGGTACATGAGAGGTAATCTTTTCAGACTTCACAGGTTTGAAAATGTCTCCATTCCACCCTATTATTTGGATATAGAATTCTAAATTGCAAATCACCCTTTTCATAGAATTCTGAGGGCATGATTTTAATGACTTCAAGCTTTCAGTATTATTGATGTCTGATGTCATTATGATGACTTATTGTTTTTACATGTGAAATGTATGTTCTTTCTCAAAGTTTTCACAATGTTCTCTTTATCACCAATGTTCCAAAATTTCATGATGATATGCCTCTGTGTGTGGGTCTTTTTCATTGACTGTACTGGATACTAGATGAATCCAGTGGTGCGCTGATAAAGGTTTAATTTTTCTTGGGGGAAAAAAGCCATGATTTGTAGTGCTTCCTGCTTTCTGTGGTGTAAATCTTCCTGCCAAGGTACCAATGTGACATTACTCAATGTGCAGTTGCCAAGAGAAGAGCTGTAGCACCTTATTATATAGTATTTACACCATATAGATAAAATAGATGCAAAAACCACAAGAGCCTAAGTAACAGTAAAATCGGAAATAATTTGGAAATAAGTTTTAATAACGACTTTGTTTAACAATCAGCTTGCAAAAATTCCTGAAAGTTTAACAGTCAGATCTCATGAGCCAGGACAAGCCAGCTCCAGAACTGGATGGTCCTGCCAATCTAAAAATTCATGTTCTTCAGTCCTGGGAATCTATCCCATTATTTCTCCACTTTGTGTTCTCCACTGCTTCTTCAGGAATTAGACAGATATTTGGCCTCCTAGGCAGGTACTCTATTTTTTTTTTAAATGTTTCTCTTCTAGGTCCCTTCTCTTATCTATTTACTCTACTTTTTTGGAGAGTTCCTCCACTACATCTAACACATTTTAAATTTCCAAAAGTTTCTCATTGTTCTAGGAATGTTCCTGGTTTTTTTTTTTTTTTGAGTTGGAGTCTCGTTCTGTACCCAGGCTGCAGTGCAGTGGCGCAAATTCGGCTCACTGCAAGCTCCGCCTCCTGGGTTCACGCCATTCTCCTGTCTCAGCCTCCCGAGTAGCTGGGACTACAGGCGCCCGCCATCACACACGGCTAATTTTTTTTGTATTTTTTTTTATTTAGAAGAGACGGGGTTTCACCATGGTAGCCAGGATGGTCTCCATCTCCTGACCTCATGATCCGCCTGCCTCAGCTTCCCAAAGTGCTGGGATTACAGGCATGAGCCACCGCGCACCCGGCTGGAATGTTCCTGTTTTTATACTTTCAATTGATTCAGCGAATGTAACATTGTTTTTTTTTTCTTCTTCTTTTTTTTTTTTTGAGATAGGGTCTTACTTTGTCACCTACTCTGGAATGCAGTAGCTTGATCTCGGTTCACTGCAACCTCCGCCTTCCAGGCTCAAGCAATCTTCCTGCCTCAGCCCCTCCAAGTAGCTGAGCCGACAGGCGCATGCCACCACACCCAGCTAATTTTTTTGTTTTTTCGGAGACCAGCCATGTTACCCAGGCTGGTCTTGAACTCCTGAGCTCAAGCGATCAGTCCACGCCAACCTCCCAAAGTGCTGGGATAAAAGGCATAAGCCACCATGCCAGACCTGTTTCCTTACTCTTTATTCTTTATTCTGTTTGTTTTGTGTTGGTCACTTTTAGGATAAAGGCTTTCCTGAAATGACTCATGATCCTTGGTGACCATTTTTATTCTTGAACATTTATTTTGACCTATAAGGGTCCCAATTTCATTGATTTTTACCAAAAGATTGCTGGGAAAAGATTACTATAAAATTTAGCATTTAGAACCATGTGTTCACAAGAATTAAAAAAAAATTTCAGCTCCCTCTCACTCTTGTCTCCCCTTTCCACGGTCTCCCTCTCCCTCTTCTCCCCTTTACACAGTCTCCCTCTGATGCCAAGCCGAGGCTGAACTGTACTGCCGCCATCTCGGCTCACTGCAACCTCCCTGCCTGATTCTCCTGCCTCAGTCTACCGAGTGCCTGGGATTGCAGGCGCGCACCGCCACGCCTGACTGGTTTTTGTATTTTTTGGCAGAGACGGGGTTTTGCTGTGTTGGCCGGGCTGGTCTCCAGCTCCTGACCGCGAGTGATCTGCCCGCCTCGGCCTCCCGAGGTGCTGGGATTGCAGACAGAGTCTCGCTCACTCAGTGCTCAATCTTGCCCAGGCTGGAGTGCAGTGGCGTGATCTCCGCTCGCTACAACCTCCACCTCCCAGCCGCCTGCCTTGGCCTCCCAAAGTGCCGAGATTGCAGCCTCTGCCCGGCCGCCACCCCGTCTGGGAAGTGAGGAGCGTCTCTGCCTGGCCGCCCATCGTCTGGGATGTGAGGAGCCCCTCTGCCCGGCTGCCCAGTCTGGAAAGTGAGGAGCGTCTCCACCCGGCCGCCATCCCATCTAGGAAGTGAGGAGCGCCTCTTCCCAGCCGCCATCACATCTAGGAAGTGAGGAGCGTCTCTGCCCGGCCGCCCATCGTCTGAGATGTGGGGAGCGCTTCTGCCCCGCCGCCCCATCTGGGATGTGAGGAGTGCCTCTGCCCGGCCGCCCCGTCGGGGATGTAAGGAGCGCCTCTGTCCGGCCGCGACCCCGTCTGGGAACTGAGGAGTGTCTCTGCCCCACCGCCAGCCCGTCTGGGAGGTGAGGAGCATCTCTGCCTGGCCGCCCCATCTGAGAAGTGAGGAGCCCCTCCGCCTGGCAGCCGCCCCATCTGGGAAGTGAGGAGCGTCTCCGCCCAGCAGCTGCCCAGTCCAAGAGGTGGGGGGCAGCCCCTGCCTGGCCACCGCCCCGTCCGGGAGGTGGGGGGCGCCTCTGCCCGGCTGCCCCGTCTGGGAAGTGAGGAGCCCCTCTGCCCAGCCGCCACCCCATCTGGGAGGAGTACCCAACAGCTCATTGAGAATGGGCCATGATGACGATGGCGGTTTTGTCGAATAGAAAAGGGGGAAATGTGGGGAAAAGAAAGAGAGATCAGATTGTTACTGTGTCTGTGTGGAAAGAGGTAGACATGGGAGACTCCATTTTGTTCTGTACTAAGAAAAATTCTTATCCTGTTGATCTGTGACCTTACCCCCAACCCTGTGCTCTCTGAATCATGTGCTGTGTCCACTCAGGGTTAAATGGATTAAGGGCGGTGCAAGATGTGCTTTGTTAAACAGATGCTTGAAGGCAGCATGCTCCTTAAGAGTCATCACCACTCCCTAATCTCAAGTACCCAGGGACACAAACACTGCGGAAGGCCACAGGGTCCTCTGCCTAGGAAAACCAGAGACCCTTGTTCACATGTTTATCTGCTGACCTTCCCTCCACTATTGTCCTATGACCCTGCCAAATCCCCCTCTCCAAGAAACACCCAAGAATGATCAATAAATACTATTAAAAAAAAATTTTTCAATGTATATATACATTATATTTTCAATGTAGCAAAGTATGATTAGTGGTCAACAAAATATGTTAGCATACAATTCTGTTGGGGAGACAGAAGAGACATATAAATTTGAGAATCAGAAGAAACAATGTAAAATTCCCAATTATGGGTATAATTTGCTGTGAATTTTTCATATAAAATACTTGAATACCAAATTACTACGGTAATTAGCATCCTTTTGTTATATTTTAAAGTGTTGGAATAACTTTAAGTATCAATGTTTAATATCCACTGAAAATAGCATCCTCTGCAACTGCTTAAATTTAGTAGTAACAGGAAAAAAAAATTTAAAAATCGACTTAAAAATATGTGAGGGTACCCCCAATTTTTCAAAATCTTTTGGTGGTACAGTAAAATTCTGAAGATCACTGAGCTGGAATATACAACCTTTCTCCTCAGTTTTTTCTGGAGCTTTCTGTAATTTTGTTTAATTCCAGATGTATTCTGAAATAATTTTTGGAAAACAGAGTTCCTTCTAATTCCTGGATAACTTCATTCATTCAGCAAATACCTACAGAGCTCCTCCCACAGGGCAGACACTGGCCTTGGTGTTGTGGATATGGCAGTAGACATAACAGACAAAATCCCTGCCCTCATGGAGCTTATCATCTAGTGACTTCTTTGATGTTTTGAGTGAGTGTACCCATCTTTTGTTCTTTTTGTTTTTTGTTTTTGAGGCAGGGTCTTGCTCTGTCACCCAGGCTGGAGTGCAGTGGCATGCTCATGGCTCATTACAACCTTTGCCTCCCAGGCTCAAGTGATCCTCCCACCTCAGCCTCCCTAGTAGCTGGGACTACAGGCATGCACCACCACACTCGGCTATTTTTTTTTTTTTTTTTTTTTGCATTTTTTGTAAAGATAGGGTTTTGTCATGTTTCCTAGGCTGGTCTTGAAACTTGGACTCAAGCAATCCACCTGGCTTGGACTTCCAAAGTGTTGGGATTACAGGCATGAGCCACCACACTCAGACTGTTACTTGTTAATTATCTGCTTAATTTTGAAGCAAATTTTAAAAGAAAATTCATCCCAAAATGAAAAAAAGCAAAATCTGACCCATGTTCTGCATCTAAAAATTCTTCTATACTGAAGAGATACTAAGGCAGAAGATTTGTGTGAACCAAAGAAAAAGGAAAACGCAAGACAGTTGTCTGAATTCAATAGCCATCTATCTGTAATTGAGTACTATCTTTTTATATAAACATGATGCCACTGCATTAAGAGATATGTTTTTCCCAGTGGCAGTAATGCTTATTCTGATTCATCCACTCACTGTGGTCTGATCTATCTTTGGACCTAAAACAGGTATTTTCCATTACTGTCTAAAGTAAGGGAAACAATTTAAGGATGTGAAATATGATGAGGCACTGTCTAACTAAAGTAGGATTTAATTTAGGCCCTTGGCCCAAAGGAACCATTTGTTTCATAATAATGCACTATGGCAATTATCAGAAGCTCTGGCTCATAGGAGGGCCTTGCTGACTGTGGGGTATATATTTAGGGTGACCTAAGTGATTTGTAAAGGGACTCCAGGTGTCAATATATGTAAATCTCCTCTTTGTGTTGGTCAGTTTTCCTAGGGAAGAATCTCTAACCTCCTGCCTGGAGAGTACAAGCCTGGATGCCATATCTGGGAAGGGGGATAGGACTCCTACCCTTCAGTATGTCAACTTTCACCTAATTCCTGTTTTTAGCATAACATGTCTCATCCCTACTTTTAGATATACCTCATGAACTTGAGACCAGAGCCCATCTGGTTCAATCTGTTCAGAGAATAAACTTCCAGCCTTTTGCAGAGGTAAAAGAAGAGATAGTCACTTGGCTATGTAGACCTAGAAAAGGGATCTAGAGGGTCTGACTGCTCCTTTTAAGAACTTTACCAATCCTCCTCATTTCAGCCTACCTCACAGATACCTTCAGAAGTATTTTCAGAGGCACCTGGGACCTCCAACTTCCTGACCCTTTCCCAAGTTATCTGGTGTAAGGCAGCTTGTTTCTTGATGACTTAGCTCTGCAGCCTTGAGTTTCTGCTCTCTGAGGTATGCTAAGTCAGTTCTCATTCATTCACTGGCTTTTCAGCTTTTAAAACTTTGTTAATATGTCCTATCTCCCATCATCTCCTCTCCTATTCTCTTTGTTCTTACAGAACAAAGAGTTCTATACTTTGTTTATACCTCTAATGTTTATACCTCTTATTCCTTTATTGTCATTTGAGTGGGACTTAGGGATGGAGCAAAGATAAATACATGTGTTCAACATATCATGTTTAACCAAAAGTTTCTAAAATGATTTTCTTATTCATTCAATAAACATAAGTGCTTGACAGTGTACCACTGAAGATATAGCAATACATGAAGACACAGCCTCTGTCTTTCTGCAGCTCACATGCAGTCTAGAAAGAATCACAGACAATGCACAAATAATTCTACAGGTGCTGAGACAGAAAGAAGTTCAGGAAGAAACAAGGGGTTATAATAAGCAGAATAACCAAAGCTATGTGGACAGACAGAATAAGAGGTTTCCTAGAGACAACAGCTATTGGCCTAACACCAATTTTTCTAAAGAAAAGACTGTTGAGTCTGGTGGAACAGCTTACCGGCGCTGGATCTGCCTTGCAAAATTGTTGCTAGAAGCTGAGCAGGGAAACTGAACTTCACTGTGCAGGGTAGCATTACGAAAAAGGTCACAGAAGTTCTCAAAGAGCTCCAAAAGCTCATCTGATGTATTCTCAAACACAGCAATCACCTCTGTCGTCACCATATTGTACACCACAAAGAAAGATGCCTGCAGAAGAAAAGAGAGAGAGGTATGGGACAGCTGAGTATAATGCCATGCGTAGGAAACTTAGCACTTATTACTTGGCTGAAAATTCAAGGCATGAATTTTCCAAAAACAACAACAACAACAACAACAACAACAAGCAAACACCTCGGCTTTACCACTAAGGTGGAAACATGGCTCCAAGTGGTTCTGGGAAAATAGGAAGCAACAGTGGGATTTATCAACTGAGAGCCTCAATGTTGCCAGATTTTCCACTGTATCTGTGCTGCTAGAATTACTGAGATGGCCAGCATATAAGTATAAAAAGGTTTTAAATTTTCATTTCAAACTGTGCAAATTCAATATTTTTCCTTCCAAGTGTTTATTCCCTACTCGCTCCCCAACCCACCCTGAAATAAAAAGCACTTCTTAAAATGCCAGATTTAATTTTCTTTCCTGCTGAAAAAGTGATTTGCAGCCTGGAGCTGCCTGTTGGCAAATTATTTTCTCTTGTAAGTGTACAGTTGAAAGTTCAATTTAGGGGTATTTATTTTTCCCTCTTAATATTTCTAACATGCAGAGAGACACCTTAAGTACATCGAGTTCTAAACTGCCCTGGCAAGTTGTATACAAGCAGGGTACTGCTGAACAAATGAAAAATCAGATAGGCGTTTTCCACTTTTTTCCTCATAAATGTTCTTTCAGCCAAGAGCATTTGTAAAACACATTTGAGATTTGTAGCAATTAAGATCAGAGGGTGAACCTGAAAAGCATTCAAATGCCATAGGTGGCAGAGTTACTGCTTTTTCTAAATGGGCCCCTTGGTGGCTAGCCCTCTTCCTTTAAACCTCCAGTGATCTGCTCTGCCTAACAAGGAAGCTCCAAGAACCCCTAATTTTTGTTACAGTGAATGTAGCAGTGTGAATCAACTACTTCTGACAGGACTCTAGAAGTTCTCAGACCACTAGGATTAGTACTCCAGCCTCCTATGATTGAGTTTAAATCTCCATTACCAATTTCTGGAGCCATTCGACCCACCTGTTTTACTAGTAATTAGTCCTTCTCAGAGCTTATATTACATGGCTTTTGCAGTCACCTGCAAATTAAATTTGGCTGTAAATTAAAGAGGCTAGAGGGTAACCTGAGAATAGTACTCATAATATTACCGAGGCCTTGTGTTTGGATGTACTTTTTACTTATTAATCTTATTGGAACCTATCAAATTAAACTGGAGGAGGAGAGCAAAGGACAACTGGGGCAGAAAGATTGGGTTTAGAGTTACAAACTGTGTAAGCAAAGCATAGAACCCAGTTATGTCATTAGCTACAACTTATTGTACCTACCAGAAAAAACTAGGCCACCTTTTAGCAAAGAAGAAAAGGATAATCTCAAAGGCAGCAGTCACAGACAACTTATTCCCTCCAAAATAAAAAGGTAATTATAGCTCAAACCTAAACAAAAGATTGATTCATGTCCTTTCTATGGCCCTGGACAACACTTTGATCCTATCAGGGTTTCACCAGAATCTCTCATAATTACATGGATATAGAATTACTCAAACATTTACTAGCCTTCCCTCCAAGGCAGACTGGGAAATAAAGAACAGGAGAGTAGAGAAGTCAAGGACTTGACTGCAGGATCCCATGATGCATAAGATGAACCAGATGCTCACCCATGATTGCTCAATGGGTGACTTCATCATTGATAGGGAAGAAAAAAAATCCACAACAAATGATCTCTAACCATATTACTCCCCTACTTCTTTTTAGAACACATAAACTACAATTCAGAAGGAAAATGTTAGAAGATATTTTACCACAGGTAGCTGGTGAGGTTTTAGGACACGATACCCTGTACAGAATCTGTTAATGGTAGAATCAGCTACAGGTCAATAAGAGATACCAAACTCAGTTGACTTCGTGGTTTACTGATTTGCTGGTTGTTCTGAATTTCCAAACTAGTGTCTAAGGAGACAATCTGCAAACAGGAGAATGGGGAGACATAGGTGTAGAAAGGTAGTTGTCTAACTTGGTCAACACTGAAGTGGAGAGGTTTTCAAAGACAAATGCCCAAATTACCCTTAATTTCAACATAGTTTTTCAATCCCCAAATCTTAGCAGTTCTGTGCTCTTTATATCACCTTATTCCCTTTTGGGAAATGCTTCTTCCCCCTACTGAAAGAAAGGCATTCTTCCCCCAAACTGAAAAACCTTTAAGATTTGCTGTCCTGATGACTCTCCTCACGGATCATAAATTTCAGCTTCCTTTTGACCTCTTCACTGCTCTACAACCTATGTCCCAGCATGTGGGCAAGGTCAGGGTAAAGTCACAAAACTTAATTCTGCCAAATGAATGCACTTATTAGTTACCTTATAAATAGGACTTTATAGTACTTTACAGAGAAGTAAATTGACATTAACCATTTAAGGATGAAAGTGGGGTTACTTAGAGAATTTTCTTTTTGGTATGGTGTACTCATTCTCATTGCCAGAACTAAAACAGCCAGACCAATAATACAGTCTTACAAAATCAAGGGAGGTTATCCATAAGTAGTCCAAACCTTGACCTTGTAGCATTTGGGCTTCCATCTCATGAGTACTGAAAATACTCTGCAGAAGAGTTAGGGTAGTAATCAGAGGTGACTATCTTCCTGTCAATGACTTGAACTTTAGCTTCCATTTGTCCAGATAAATACATATGACCAGAGAAAAATGGAGCTGATTTTAAGTTTGGGCCCTAGGATATCAATTCAGACTACGTGAAATGTCTATTTCTGAGGGGTGGGCTATAAACAAACAGAGAAACCTTCCCATTTTGCCAAGGAGATTAGACAAGTAAAAGGCAGGAGTGTACCTCATACCTGTGATGGATCTGTGACTCGCAGTGTTACTACATCCTCACTAGTGTACTTGATAAACAGGTGGTTTTCATCCAGAAGCTGCATTTTCCACATTCGCAGCTGCCGCAGTTGGTCAAAATACTGGAAGAAGCGCCTCTTGGCCATTGCACTACCATCCTGTTCTGCCCGGCGCCACAAATATACCAGCAACCGGTGTTTGAGGGAATTGATGAAAGGATCCCTAAAGGGATTGGCCATGCCTGTCTGACTGTCCCGCTGTACCTCAGGGAAAACAGCTGACACAGTGAGCAGGTCATCCTCATAGCAAAAGCGGCCAATGGTCCGCACATCAATGAAAGTGCCTTCAGGAGTCACCTGGAAGACATGGATGGTCTGTTGTTGCACAGACAAGATGGCCAGGATGTTTTTGTACAAGTACAGCCCTTGGTTGTGTGACAAGACCACCTTGTCACACTTGAACGTGCGTGTATCACATAAGCGGCCGGTGTGAAGGTCAATGATATGGAGGGAATAGTCTTCTAGAGGGGACCGTGGGTTGGGGGTCACTGATTCACTGTTCCGATATACCTCAAAAAATGGAGGGTGAGGCTCATCTGGGAGGTAGGCAGCTGAGCCCACGATGACACAGCGGCAGTCATCAGTGAAGAGACTACACTCCCGGTTCAGGTGCTCACCATTGGCCGCAACATTGGTAATGTGCAGCAGGACAAAAAAGCGTTCAAAGAGCCGGCCCCGGATATTCACTGACCGCTGGTCATTGCCATTGGACAGGATTTCTCCTTCGTATCCCTGCAGTAGGTCCTCTGCTGCCTGGCAGCCCTGGTACTCATAGATTTCAAGAGATGTCTGGTCTGAAGAAAAAGCAATAAAGTAGCGTCCATCAGGTGAGAATTTACGCAAGAAACAAGGAGGCTTTTCAACGTTGACAACTGTGAAGTTGGGGAAGACATTCTGATGGAACACTCGGACTTGGTGCCAGTGGGTACCTGCCTTGCCTGAACTGATCCGCCGGCGTTCCAAGCGGTGAATGACATTTTGGTTTTGGATTCTTCGAGGCTTGATGGTAGAAACATGATGATCCATTATCACATCTCTAAACAGAAAAGTAAAGCAGAAGTCAAGAAAGTGAAACAGAATTTACCAAAATATAAATATATACAAGTGAAACAGATTTCTCTTCTTATATCCTGAACCTAGGAGCTCCCAAGATGACAGTGACTGGCATTACTACTTCCCAGATTATACTGAGTAAGTGGTCCTAACATTTCTAAGTCTAGAAACAGGTCTAAGGGAAGGATCTAGTTCACTAGGAATACCTTCCAAGTATGCTCAGCTGTTGGGAAAGTTCAACAGAAAAAAACCTACAACTACAAATTTGAACAGTATAAGACACATTCGGCTGGGCGCAGTGGCTCACACCTGTAATCCCAACACTTTGGGAGGCCGAAGCAAGTGGATCACCTGAGCTCACTAGTTCAAGCCCAGCCTGGAAAACATGGCAAAACCCTGTCTCTACAAAAAAATATAAAAATTAGCTAGGCATGGTGGCACATGACTGTAGTTCCAGCTACTTGAGAGGCTGAAGTGGAAGGATTGTTTAAGCTTGGATCATCGAAGCTGCAATAAGCCGTGGTCACAACACTGCACTCCAGCCTGGGCAACAGAGTGAGACTCTATCTCAAACAAACAAACAAAAAAATCATATTCAATGTGCATTCATTCCAGCAAAAAATATTTATTGGGCTGTTAAGATATCCATATTACCCAAAATAATCTACAGATTCAATACAAACCCTATCAAAATCCTAATAGCACTTTTCACAAAGATAAAAAATTCATCCTAAAATTCATATGGTATCTCAAGGGCCTCCAAATACACAAAATAATTTTGAAAAAGAACAAAGAGGATTCAAGCCTCTTGATTTCAAAATATATTACAAACCACAGTAATCAAAAAATTGTGGTACTGGATAAAGACAGACACAGACCAATGAAATGGCCCACAGATAAACTCTGGCATATATGGTTAAACAATCTTTGATAAGGTCCTACTACTACTCAATAGAAAAAGGACAGTCACTTCAACAAATGGTGTTGGGAAAACTGAATAGCCACATGCAAAAGAATGAAGTCAGACCCTATCTTACACCCTATACAAAAATTAACCCAAAATAGGAAAAGAATCTAAATATAAGACCCATAACTATAAAACTACTAGAAGAAAATACAGGAGGAAAGCTTCATGACATCAGATCTGGCAGTGATTTCTTGGATAAGACACAAAAGGCATAGGCGACCAAGACAAAAATAGACAAATGGGAATACATCAAACTTAAAACTTCTGTGATCAAAGGACACAATCAACCGAGTGAAAGGGCTTTCTACAGAATGGAAGAAAATATTTGCAAATCATATATTGGATAAAGGGTTAATATCTAGAACATATAAAGAACTCCTATAACTCAATAACAAAAAATCATATACCCAATTTTAAAATGGTCAAAGTACTGGAACAGACATTTCTCCTATACAAATGGCCACAAAGCATATGAAAAGATAGATGCTCAACATCACTAATCATCAGAGAAATGTAAATCAAAACTACAATGGGATATCACCTCACACCCATTAGAACGACTGCTTTTTTTAAAAAAAGAAAATGACAAGTTTCATTGAGGACATAGAGGAAGTTGAACCCTTGTGCATTGTTGGTGGAACTGAAAAATAGTACAGCTACTAAGGAAAACAGTATGAAGGTTCCTTGAAGAAAATTAGAACTACCATAAGATCCAACAATTCTACTTCTGGGTATAAATCCAAAATAACTGAAAGCAGGATTTCTAAGAGATATTTGCACACCCATGTTCATATCAGCGCTATTCATAGTAGTCAAGAGATGGAAGCAACCCAAAAGTTCACTGATGGATGAGTGGATAAACAAAATATGGTATATACACACAAAGGAATATTACTCGGCCTTCAAAAGGAAGAAAATTCTGACATATGCTACATCACTGAAACTTGAGGACATTATGTGAAGTCAAATAAGCCAATCACAAACAGACAAATACTGTATGATTCCACTTAAATGAAGTATCAAACGTAATCAAATTTAACAGCCAGGTGCCATAGCACACACCTGTAATCCCAGCTACTTGGGAGGCTGAGGTGGACCACTTGAGCCCAGGAGTTTGAGTCTAGCTTGGGCAACAGAGCAAGACCCAATCTCTAAAAAAAAAAAAAAAAAAAAAAAATTAATGTAAAATACTTATCATTAAAAAAAGAAAAAGGAATCAAATTCACAGAAACAAAGAAGAATGGTGGTCACCAGGGACTAGCAGGAGGGGAAAGAGAAGGTGCTGTTGAATGGGTTAGACTTTTCAGATTTTCAAGATGAAAAACTTCTCGAGATCAATTTCACAATGTGAATATACTTAATACTACTGAACTGTACACTTACAATCAGTTAAGACGGTAAATGTTAGGCTATTTTAAAATCACAATAAAAATATGTTTTAATATTTATGGGGCATCTATTATATGGCAAAGTCTTCTAATTGTTTTATTATACCTTGATTCAAATCAAAGTTAAATCACAGGCCATAAAAGTCAACGGCATTTAGTGAAAAACTTAAGTTATAAAGCTGTTGCCAGATAAGATGGAATAATCAAACACCACCTTCTCTCTCCCACTAAAAATGCAGCTATAAAACCTAGACAGAATGCATAAGACAGGCATATGAGAAAAACCAATTGGCTAACAATAAAGTACCACTGAATGGGCAGTGAGGTTAACATTGTCTCCCCTGGTTCTCCTGCTGCTTGAAGAGCAAGTGTGTTGCAAGGAAGGATAATTAAAGCCCCAATTTTGTCATCAGAGGATCAAAAGGGAGACCCCAGTGGAACCAGAAGGTACTGGGGAGATATCAGATGGGGAGGAGCTCAGAAAAGTAACATCATGAAGTTGTTCATGAACTCCCAAGCTGCACACGTGTGGATCTGGTCCAAATCATACTAAAGGCTTTGAGAACTGAAATAATCAACACCCAGATTGCAGACTGGCCACTGAATGTCACATACATGGGACAGATCCAAATAGCACTGCAAAGACTTTCTGAAAATTCATCTGCCATTAGAACCATAGCCTAAAGAGAGTTACAAATTGCAAATTCCCTGAAGCTAATTAGGTAGATTGCCTACCAAGCCAAAAATCACCAACATCCTCTTAGGATTTAAACAAGCCCTATCATCTTATAATATTCAAAATGTCTAGGAAACAATCCAAAATCATTCAGCATATGAAGTACTAGGAAAAAACTCAATCTAGAAAAGACAATTGACAGACACCAATGTTGAGATGCTACAAAAGTTGGAATTCTCTGAGACAGATTTTGAAGTACCTATTATAAAAATGTTCCAATAAGTAATCACAAACACTCTTGAAATGATGGAAAAACAAAGTCTCAGCTAAGAAACAGAAGATATTTCTTAAAGATCCAGATAAGAAGTTTAGAGCTGAAAAAGCAATAACCAGCATACAAAACTCTTCTAGCTTCCATAGACTCTAGTAAAATATCTTTTAAAAATTTAAAAACAATTCTGAAAAAGAATAAAAAACTCACTGATGGGCTCAAGGGCAGAATGAAGTCATCAGAGAAATGAGTCAGTCACCCTGAAGATAGATTAGTATACATTACCCAATGTGAACAAAAGAGGGAAAAAATAAAAAGACTGAAAAAAAGTCAGTAAAGCCTCAGGGCCCTAGGGAAAATATCAAAAGTTGTAACACCCTGATCTTGAGGAGTAGAATGCTAAGAAAAAAAAAAAAAATTAAGAAATAATGGCTGTAATAGTTGGTGGTGGTGGCACACATCCATAATCCCAGAACTTTGGGAGGCTGAGATGGGCAAATTGCTTGAGCCCAGGAGTTCAAGACCAGCCTGGGCATCATGGCAAAACCCCATCTCTACTAAAAATACAAAAAGTAGCCGGGCACAGTGGTGTGCACTTGTAGTCACAGCTACTCAGGAGGCTGAGGTGGGAGGATCACTTGAGCCTGGGAAGCAGAGGCTGAAGTGAGCTGAGATCATGCCACTGCACTCCAGCCTGGGCAATGCAGTGAGACTCTGTCAAAAGAAAGAAAAAAAGAAAGAAAGAAAGGAAGGAAGGGGAAAAAAAGAAAGATGAAAGAAAGGAAGGAAAGAAGAAAGGAAGGGAGAGAGGAAGGAAGCAAGGGAAGGAGGAAGGAAATTTCCCAAATTTGGCTAAAGATATAAACTCCAATTCAAAAGGTTCAGAGACCCCCCAAATTCAGGAAGTTCAGAGACCCTCAAATATGATAAATCCAAAGAAATCCATGCCCAGGCACATCATAGCTAAAATGGAAAAAACTAAAAGATATACAGTAAAAACCTCTAAAGTAACCAGATAGAAACCACGTATCACCTATAGAGGTGCAACAATTCAAATGTCTGTAGATTTCTCATCAGAAACCATGGAAGTTAGAAAGAAGTGGAACAACATTATTTAAGTGCTGAAAGATCTGCCTCTGTTTCATCATTCAAGTCTCAGCTAAAATAGTACCTCCTCAGAAATCTTCCCCAGGCACCTTACGTCTGCCCACATGAATTTACTGATACACCCTATATTATTAATGGTCTTTATCTCTTCCTGAAATTAAGTTGTTTACCTTTTTAGTATCTGTCCCACCATACCAGAGAGCAGGGAACTGGTCTAATTCCTTGCTGTATTCCCAGCACCTAGGAGAAGGGACAGTTAAGCGCTCATAAATATGTTAAAATAATTAATGGAGCAACAATTGGTATGAGCCTTGAAGAATAAGAATACACTAAACAAAGTAAAAGAGGAACAAACTGGCCGGGTGCAGTGGCTCACGCCTGTAATACCAGCACTTTGGGAGGCTGAGGCAGGGAGGTCACAAGGTCAGGAGTTCGAGACCAGCCTGGCCAACATAGTGAAACTCCATCTCTACTAAAAATACAAAAATTAGCTGGGCATGGTGGCGGGGACTCCAGCTACACAGGAGGCTGAGGCAGGAGAACTGCTTGAACCCGGGAGGCAGAGGTTGCAGTGAGTCAAGATTGTACCACTGCACTCCAGCCTGGGCAACAGAGCAAGACTCCATCTCAAAAAAAAAAAAAAAAAAAGGAACAAACTAGATAAAAAGGTACCTAAAAGGCTAAAAGACACATTTTTAAAAAGCATGACATGGCACATTTGGGAAACAGAGCAATTTCAAGTGGTTAGAGCACAGGAAGCACAGAGTGAGTGATAAGAGAGGCCTAGAAAAAGACTGGAAAGCAGGGGAGCGATTGGATCCAATCTGTATTTTAAAACGTACACACAATGAGGTATTTATTCATATTCTGTCTCCTTCTGAAAAGGTTCCAAATGCCTTATATAAGTATATATAATACCCAGTCAAGTTAAAAATGTACATACCTCCATGACTGAGCAAGTTTCTCAAACTGCTAGTCACACCTCATGAATAGAGCCTTGGATCAATTTAGTGAATAGTATTACGGACATTTTAAAAAATGAAATAGAAAGTATCAAGCTATCATATATTGCAATGGTAAGCACTGTTTTGTAAAACGTTTATTTCAATTATATTGGAGTTACATGCACTGAGTAAAGACATAAAATGTATACTGATCTAGACTAGAGCAAGAGTCTGCAAACTACCGCCCTCAGCCCAAATCTAGCCCATCTCTCACCTCCTGGATTTTTTGGGGTCTCACTCTGTCGCCCAGGCTGGAGTACAGTGGTACCACCATGGACCTCCCTGGCTCAAGTGATCTTTCTGCCTTGATCTCCCAAAGTGCTAGGATTACAGGCATGAGCTACCACACCTGACCCCTACCTCCCAGTTTTTGTAAATGAAATTTCACTGGAACCCTCCCATACCCAGTCATTTACATATTGCTTTTGCCCTACATAGGCAGAGTTGAGCAGCTGAGATGAAGATCTTACTTATGTTTATGGCCCTCATTAGATGGTGATGTCCCACCGACCAGTACGCAAACACTATATTCTGTATGCTCATCACAGTGTTTGACACATGGTAAGCCTCCCTTCTTGAACACTGGACCTGTCTAACGGGAAGTTCTGTGTCAACTCAGGCATCCACAGGGACTATTCCCTCTGCCTGGAATGCATTTCCCCTGCCCCTTGCTGTAACTTCTCAAGTTGCAGCTTAAGTGCAGTCTCCTTTAGGAAGTGTTCCCTGACCATCCTATCTAAAACAGGACTCCCGTTATTATTACATTTTGTCTTCTCCATAGTAATCACTGCAAGTTGTATTTACACTTTCACTTGCATGCTTGTGTTTAATGTCTGATTCCCTTGCTACCCTGTACTCTCCAGACAGGAAGTAACCAGGTCTACCTCGGTCATGCGGTATTTTCAGAGCCTAGCACTGGGACTGGCACATGGTAGGCATTTGGTACTTTATGGAACGAAAGAAGAAAGCCTGACTGAATTGGGACACTTGTAATGCCCAAACTGGTTTTTACTAACTCTGTTTTTAGACTCTCCCTTAGCTAAGAGAGCCAGACAGACTCCATCTTGGCTCTTTCACTGGCAGCCCCTTCCTCAAGGACTTAACTTGTGCAAGCTGACTCCCAGCACATCCAAGAATGCAATTAACTGATAAGATACTGTGGCAAGCTATATCCACAGTCCCCAAGAATTCATCTGATTGATAACACCCAAAGCCCCACGTCTATCACCTTGTAATAGTCATAAAGCCCCTGCACCTGGAACTGTTTACTTTCCTGTAACCATTTATCCTTTTAACTTTTTGACTACCTAACTTCTGTAAAATTGTTTTAACTAGACCCCCCCTCCCCTTCCTAAACCAAGGTATAAAAGTTAATCAAGCCCCTTCCTCAGGGCTGAGAGAATTTTGAGCATTAGCCGTCTCTCGGTCACCGGCTAGTAAAGGACTCTTAATTAGTCTCAAAGTGTGGCGTTTTCTCTAACACCCCGGGTACAACATAATGGAGGCCCCAGCGAGAAATTAATGCCACTGGGTGAGAGTTGGTCTTGCTCCGGGCTCCCCCGGAAGGACGGCCGGCTCAGAGGGGGTTACCACCTGAGGAAAGAATTTTCAGGTCCCCAAACAGTGACCACCTTCCGGAGGAGAGTGGATCGACTACCATGTCAGTGCCTTAAAATTCAACATCTGAGTCCTCAGCTTCTCACCCCGGGGTCAGGTAGGTCAGATTTGACTTTGTTCTGGTTCTGGTAAGAGGGAAGTGGCCCTGACGAGGGCATCCCTCTTTTGACTCAGCCCGTTACTCTAGGACGCTACTGGGTTGAGCCTTGGTTTTCTGGTAGGCGCCTCTGTGTCTTGGTTTAGGTGGGAAGTGGTCCTGATCAGGCCCCTCCCTTGGACTTAGCTGAAGACCCAGGATGCTGGGGAGCTGAGCCTTGGTTTCTGGCAGACCGCTCTCTCTCTCTCTCTCTCTCTTTCTCTTATTCAAGTTTCTTGGAGAATCTCCAGGAAAGAAAAAAAAAACTGTTATAAACTCTGTGAATGGTGAGTGACTGTGGGAGGACAAAGGCTTGCATTTGTCTTCCAGTTTGTAGCTCCACGGCGAAAGCTACACAGTTTGAGTGGGCCCTCACCTGCAGTTCTGGGGCGACCTCACAAGGCTTAAGGCAGCATCGGACATAGCTCGATCCAAGCCGGGGGTTTATACCGGCCTGCCAATGCTAAGAGGAGCCCAAGTCCCCTCAGGGGAAGTGACCAGGTGGGCATCTGACTGATCCCATCACGGGAGGGCCCCCCCTTGTCTGTCTAAAAAAAAAAAAAAAAAAAAAAAGGAAAAAACTGTCAAAACTGTTTACCTGCCCTAGGGTCAAATTGTTTGTTTTATGTTTATTTTTCTGCTTAGTGTTTATTGTCTTGTTTAGTGGTTGTCAAGGTTTTGCATGTCAGGACGTCGGTATTGCCCAAGACGTCTGGGTAAAAACTTCTTCAAGGTCCTTAGTGCTGATTTTTTTGTCACAAGAGGTTAAATTTCTCATCGGTTGTTCAGGCTGGCCACCACAGTCCTGTCTTTTCTGCCAGAGGCAAGTAAGGTGTTGTTACAGGAATGAGTGTGAAGAACATTCATCTGATTGAAATCTCTGGCACCATGGAAGTTGTGGGCATTTAGATTGCCATACCCCACATCCAAGTGATTGGACCTCCTCTAGATTAAACCGGTGGTGGGTTCAAAACAGCCACCCTGCAGATTTCCTTGCTCACCTTTTTTGTCATTCTGTAACTTTTCCTGTGCCCTTAAACAGAACACTGTGTAGGGAAACCTACACCTGTCATGCTTTACTTCGTTTAGACTCCTACTCTGTTCCCCTGTGGCTACTCTCTCATCTTAAAAATGACCTGAGTGGTCCCTTTCCCCCTCGTCCCTGCCCCCTACTCTGCACATTTCGGTTTCCACTGCGACAGCAAGTTCAGTGTCTCCAGGACTTGGCTCTGCTCTCGCTCCTTGAACCCTTGAAAGAAAGAGCTAAATTTAAGCTATTTGCCTTTGAGTCATGGAGACACCAAAGGTATTTAGGGTACAGATCTAGAAGAAGAGGGAGAACGCCTAGATCCAACTGACCCAGGAGACCTCAGGCTGGCCTCTAGTCCCCCTCCCTCAATCTTAAAGCTACAGCAATGTGGCAAGTGGTATTAGCTGTTGTGATTTTTCTGTTCTTTCTGGTTATGTTAATTCTGTTTTTCTGATACTCCAGCCCCCCAGGGAGTGAGTTTCTCTGTCCATGTTGGATCTGATACCTCTGCTCAAATTCTGTTAAATTGCCTTCTAAAAAAAAAAAAAAATGGGAAACACTTCCTCCCAGCCTTGCAAGTGTTGGAGCCCCCTCCAATGTATGCTGGAAAATTTTTCTCTTGGTGTGGGGAAAAGCAAGAGAGATCAGATTGTTACTGTGTCTGTGTAGAAAGAAGTAGACATAGGAGACTCCATTTTGTTATGTACTAAGAAAAATTCTTCTGCCTTGAGATTCTGTTAATCTATGACCTTAGCCCCAACCCCGTGCTCTCTGAAACATGTGCTGTGTCAACTCAGAGTTGAATGGATTAAGGGCGGTGCAAGATGTGCTTTGTTAAACAGATGCTTGAGGGCAGCATGCTCCTTAAGAGTCATCACCACTCCCTAATCTCAAGTACCCAGGGACACAAAAACTGTGGAAGGCCGCAGGGACCTCTGCCTAGGAAAGCCAGGTATTGTCCAAGGTTTCTCCCCATGTGATAGTCTGAAATATGGCCTCGTGGGAAGGGAAAGACCTGACCGTCCCCCAGCCCGACACCCATAAAGGGTCTGTGCTGAGGAGGATTAGTAAAAGGGGAAGGAATGCCTCTTGCAGTTGAGACAAGAGGAAGGCATCTGTCTCCTGCCTGTCCCTGGGCAATGGAATGTCTCGGTATAAAACCCGATTGTATGCTCCATCTACTGAGATAGGGAAAAACCGCCTTAGGGCTGGAGGTGGGACCTGCGGGCAGCAATACTGCTTTGTAAAGCATTGAGATGTTTATGTGTATGCATATCTAAAAGCACAGCACTTAATCCTTTACATTGTCTATGATGCAAAGACCTTTGTTCACGTGTTTGTCTGCTGACCCTCTCCGCACAATTGTCTTGTGACCCTGACACATCCTCCTCTTTGAGAAACACCCACAGATGATCAATAAATACTAAGGGAACTCAGAGGCTGGCGGGATCCTCCATATGCTGAACGCTGGTTCCCCGGGTCCCCTTATTTCTTTCTCTATACTTTGTCTCTGTGTCTTTTTCTTTTCCAAATCTCTCGTCCCACCTTACGAGAAACACCCACAGGTGTGTAGGGGCAACCCACCCCTACATCTTGGTTTTTCAGAGAATTACGGAGTCTGCCTTTAAAAAGGCAAGCTCCGGACACTCTGTGAAGTAGAATGGCCAAGGTTTGGAGTTGGGTGGCCCTCTAAAGGATCATTGAATCCTACAATTGTTCAAGCCGTGTGGCGGGTTGTTACTGGAACTCCTGGCCACCCTGATCAGTTTCCCTATATCAATCAATGGTTAAGTTTGATTAGAAATCCTCCTCCATGGCTCCGTTCATGTGCCATTCACAATTCCACCTCCAAAGTCCTCCTGAACCAGGCCGTGTTTTCACCTCGACCCTCAGCCAGTTCGGCTCCCCCTGTTTTGCCTCCCTCTGAAGAAGGGAGGACATGTCTCTTCGAGGAGACGTCCCCTGTGGGCTCACCGCCCAATTGCCTCCCGGCTGTGACCGCGCTGGGAGGAAGCAGCCCCTCTACTACCACTGAGAGAGGCACAAGTTCCTCCAGGTGATGAGCGCTCAGCCCCCTTCCTGTTTTATGTCCCTTTTTCTACTTCTGACTTGTATAACTGGAAAACCCATAATCCTCCCTTCTCTGAAAAGCCTCAGGCTTTGACCTCACTGATGGAGTCCATGCTCCAGACCCATCGACCCACCTAGGATGACAGCCAACAGCTCCTTTTAACTCTCTTTACCTCTGAGGAGAGGGAGCGCATCTGAAGAGAGGCCAGAAAACACTTCCTTGCATTAACCGGTAGGCCTGAGGAGGAAGCTAGAGACCTCCTGGAGGAGGTCATTCCCTCCACCCGGCCTAATTGGGACCCAAATTCCTCAGGTGGAAGGAGAGCCTTGGACGATTTTCACTGGTATCTCCTCACGGATATTAAAGGAGCCACTCAGAAGCCCATAAACTTGTCTAAGACAACTGAAGTTGTCCAGGGGCCTGATGAGTCACCAGGAGCGTTTTTAGAATGTCTCCAGGAGGCTTATCGCATTTATACTCCTTTTGACCCGGTGGCTCCCGAAAATAGCCACGCTCTTAATTTGGCATTTGAGGCTCAGGCAGCCCTGGACATTAAGAGAAAGCTCCAGAAACTGAAAGGATTTACTGGGATAAATAACAGTCAGCTTTTAGAAATAGCCCAGAAGGTTTTTGACAATCGAGAGTATGAAAACAGAAACAAGCAACACAGGCAGCTGAAAAGGCCGCTGATAAAGCCTATAAAAGACAAGCAAAAATCTTACTAATGGCTATCCAAGAGGGCAGAAAGGAAAGGCCCCCATTCCAGAAAAAATGGCCAAGGAACCTTGGGTTCCCACCAGAAAAGTAAAAGAGGTGAACAGGCCTCTCTAGGAAAAGACCAATGTGCCTATTGCAAGCAGACTAGGCACTGGAAAAAGGAATGCCCACTACTGCCACAAGAAAAGTCAGAAAACAAAAAGTTCTCACCCTGCCTGCAACAGAAGAGCCTGAATGACAGGGCCGTGAGATACTGTCATCTCTGGATATTGGGGTTTGCGGAGATTGCAAAGCCCTTGTATACTGCTATAAGAGGTAATGGCCCATTGATTTGGACAGACACCGAAGAACAGGCTTTTCAAAATCTGAAAAAGACTTTAACTGAAGCCCCTGCTTTAGGCCTCCCAGATACCTCAAAGCCTTTTCATCTGTTTGTCCATGAGAGCCAGGGAATTGCTAAGGGGGTGCTTACTCAGACTTTAAGACCTTGGAGACACCCAATGGCTTATTTATCTAAGAGGCTGGATCCTGTGGCCTCTGGATGGCCAAGTAGCAGCTAGAGCAAGCCTAGTCCAAGAAACTGATAAGTTAATTCTGGGCCAGGATTTAACCCTTACAGCTCCTCATGCTGTAGAGACTTTACTACAAAGTGCTTCAGGTAAATGGATGTCAGATGCTTGCATTTTACAATATCAGAGTTGTTGAATCAGCCTCGTTTGACTTTCTCTCCCACATGGTGTTTAAATCCAGCTACTATCCAAGACTGTAAGGAACTGTTAGAAACTACCGAAACTGGCCGACCTGATCTTCAAGATGTGGCCCTAGAGAAGGCGGACGCCGCTGTGTTCACAGATGGTAGCAGCTTTCTCAAGCAGCGAGTATGAAAGGCCGGTGCAGCTGTTACCACGGAGACAGATGTGTTGTGGGCTCAGGCTTTACCAGCAAACACCTCAGTGCAAAAAGCTAAATTGATCGCCCTCACTCAGGCTCTCCGATGGGGTAAGGATAAACGTATTAACATTTACACTGACAGCAGGTACGCCTTTGCTACTGTGCATGTACATGGAGCCATCTACCAGAAGCGTGGGCTACTCACCTCAGCAGGAAAGGCTATCAAAAACAGATCAAGCAGCTCTCCAGTGCACAACCTGCGCCCAGGTAAATGCCAAGCAAGGTTCTAAACCCAGCCTAGGCCACCGTCTCTGAGAAAACTCGCCAGAAGAAAAGTGGGAAATTGACTTTACAGAAGTAAAACCACACCGGGCTAGGTACAAATAGCTTCTAGTACTAGTAGACACCTTCTCCAGATAGACTGAAGCATTTGCTACCAAAAATGAAACTGCCAATACGGTAGTTAAGTTCCTACTCAATAAAATCATCCCTCAATATGGGCTGCCTGCTGCCGCAGGGTGATAATACACCTGCCTTCACCTCGTCCATAGCTCAGTGGGTCAGTTAGGCGTTAAACATTCAGTGGAAGCTCCATTGTGCCTATCGACCCCAGAGCTCTGGGCAGGTAGAACACATGAACCGCACCCTAAAAAGACACTCTTACAAAATTAATTTTAAAAACCGGTAAAAATTGGGTAAGTCTCCTTCCTTTAGCCCTACTTAGAGTAAGGTGCACCCTTTATCAGGCTAGGTTCTCACCTTTTAAAATCATGTATGGGAGGGCGCCGCCTATCTTGCTTAAGCTAAGAGATGCCCAACTGGCAGAAATATCACAAGCTAATTTATTACAGTACCTACAATCTCCCCAACAGGTACAAGATATCACCCTGCCACTTGTTCAAGGAAACCATCCCAATCCAATTCCTAACCAGACGGGGTCCTGCCATTCGTTCCAGCCAGGAGAACTAGTGTTTGTTAAAAAGTTTCAGAAACAAGGACTCACTCCTGCTTTGAAAAGACTTCACACCGTCATCCTCACGCCAATGGCTCTGAAGGTGGATGGCATTCCTGCTTAGATTCATCACTCCTGCATCAAAAAGGCCAACAGAGCCCTACTAAAAACAGGGGTCCCCAGGCCTCGGTCAGGCCCCTTCTAAAACTGTGCCTAAGTCAGGACGTGTATTTGCAAACACCACTTGGAGGGCCGGTACCTCTAAGGAAGTCTCCTTTGCAGTTGATTTTATGTATACTGTTCCCAAAGCCAGCCTGTACCCACGAAGAGCAACACAATCTGCTTGTCCCAAAAGCAGGAAGTGTCGACCTTGTAGCAGGATTTGGGTGCTCTGGGAGCCAAACTGGATGTGTGGAAGTGCCAAAGGTGCAGAAAAAGAACTCCAAAATGTTGACTTTTACCTCTGTCCTGGGAATCACCCTGACGCTAGCTGTCGAGATACTTATCAGTTTTTCTGCCCTGATTGGACATGTGTAAACTTAGCCACCTACTCTGGGGGATCAACCAGATCTTCATTCGGTAACTCGTGCTTCTCATCCTAAATTATGTACTAAAAAAAAAATTGTAATCCTCTTACAATAATATTACGGCATGTCATGGAAATTAACATTTTATATTCCAGGATTTGATGTTGGGACTATGTTCACCATCCAAAATAAATAAATAAATAATAGAAATAAAAATCCTGGTCTCATGGAGCCCACCCAAGCCAATCGGGCCTTTAACTGCTCTAGGTGACCCTATGTTCCAGAAACCCCCTGACAAAGTTGATTTAACTGTTCCTCCACCATTCTTAGTCATAAAAGATACCCTCCAAAAAGTTCGAGAATATCTAGATAGGCAACAACAGGAACGAGAAAATAACATCCCCTGGTATCAAAACATGTTCCACTGGAACCCCTGGCTAACTACTTTAATCACTGGGTTAGCTGGACCTCTCCTCATCATACTATTAAGTTTAATTTTTAGGCCTTGTATATTAAATTGGTTTCTTAATTTTGTAAAACAATGCATAGCTTCTGTCAAACTTATGTATCTTAAGACTCCCCTTGTTAAAACTGAGGAATCAATGATTTGATTCCCCAAAAACACAAGTGGGGAATGTAATGCCCAACCTGGTTTTTACTAACTCTGTTTTTAGACTCTCCCTTAGCTAAGAGAGCCAGACAGACTCCATCTTGGCTCTTTCACTGGCAGCCCCTTCCTCAAGGACTTAACTTGTGCAAGCTGACTCCCAGCACATCCAAGAATGCAATTAACTGATAAGATACTGTGGCAAGCTATATCCACAGTCCCCAAGAATTCATCTGATTGATAACACCCAAAGCCCCACGTCTATCACCTTGTAATAGTCATAAAGCCCCTGCACCTGGAACTGTTTACTTTCCTGTAACCATTTATCCTTTTAACTTTTTGACTACCTAACTTCTGTAAAATTGTTTTAACTAGACCCCCCCTCCCCTTCCTAAACCAAGGTATAAAAGTTAATCAAGCCCCTTCCTCAGGGCCGAGAGAATTTTGAGCGTTAGCGGTCTCTCGGTCACCGGCTAATAAAGGACTCTTAATTCGTCTCAAAGTGTGGCGTTTTCTCTAACACCCCTGGGTACAACACACTAACTCACTGTGTGGTACTAAGTCCTTTACCCTTGCTGGGTCTCAGTTTCCCTATGGGAGAAGGTGCACATGTCCCTCAATTCCTTGCGACGGCCTCTAAACCAGAAGGGGATGCCAAGGGGCGGGCACACATACCCAAAAGGGCGCCCCCGGAAAGAAAAGCCTGGGGCGGGGCCTCAAAGGGAAGAGAATGCTGAGGGAGGGCGGGGGCCGCGGGGCCTCTGGGCATCAGCGTCATGCAGGGAGGAGCCTGCCGGGGAGGGTCTGACGGGCTTGGAGGCTGGGCCAAAAATGGTAAGTCCTCACCTGTCTGGTCCGGGCTCAAAGAGCCAGGGCGAGGGATGCCCCAGCCTGTTCTGTGCGCGCCTCCCCCTGCCCCGCCCCCGCCATGCCCCAGGACTCCTGCACCCGCGGCTGCACGTTCCCGTTTCCGCCAGCCACCGGAACTGCGGCCCAGCAAAAAGGGAAGTAGGGGAGAGCACGGCACTGTTCAGCCAACACTAAGAGACAGGTACAGCGCACCCTTGTGCCCGGAGGAAGGATCGAAGCCGTAGAGGCTCCATGGCTCCGAAGGAAAAATTAAAATGGCACCTAACCTGGCAATCTCTGTGAGTCCCAATGGCAGTGTCTCTGCACCTGCTGGGCACATTTGAAAAAATATGAATAGAATTAATTTTTCACCTATTGATTAGATGCTGAGAAACTTCCTACTCTGTTATCTTCTAGATGGCGAGCACCTTGAAGACTGAGATTGTATTGATCATCTCTGACTAACAGGGAATTTGCCTTGCTAGTTTTAAGATGGAGTTGATTTTAAAATGATGTCACTCTGGCTCTCGTAGGCTCCTGCTTCCCTAACAAAAAGACCTTCAACATCATTAATTATCAGAGAAATGCAAATCAAAACAATGAGATACTACTTCATACCCCTTAGGATGGCTATAATATCTTTAAAAGGAAGATATCACATACTGGTGAGGAGGTGGAGAAATCAAAAGCCTCATACACTGCTGCTGGGATGGGTGCAGTCACTTTCATGGGCGTCCGTGTGAAGAGACCACCAAACAGGCTTTGTGTGAGCAATAAAGCTGTTTATTTCACCTGGGTGCAGGTGGGCTGAGTCCGAAAAGAGAGTCAGCGAAGGGAGATAAGGGTGGGGCTGTTTTATAGGATTTGGGTAGGTAAAGGAAAATTACAGTCAAAGGGGGCTTGTTCTCTCACGGGCAGGAGTGGGGGTCGCAAGGTGCTCAGTGGGGGTGCTTTTTGAGCCAGAATGAGCTAGGAAAAGGACTTTTACAAGGTAATGTCATCACTTAAGGCAAGGACCGGTCATTTACACTTCTTTTGTGGTGGAATGTCATCAGTTAAGGTGGGGCAGGGCATACTCACTTCTTTTGTGATTCTTCACTTATTTCAGGCCATCTGGGCTTATATGTGCAAGTCACAAGGGATGCGATGGCTTGGCTTGGGCTCAAAGGCCTGACATTCCTGCCTTCTTATATTAATAAGAAAAATAAAAATAGTGTTGAAGTGTTGGGGCGGCAAAAATTTTTGGGGGGTGGTATGGAGAGAGAATGAGCGATGTTTCTCAGGGCTGCCTCAAGCGGGATTAGGGGTGGCGTGGGAACCTAGAGTGGGAGAGATTAAGCTGAAGGGAGGTCTTGTGGTAAGGGGTGATATTGTGGGGATGTTAGAAGAAACATTTGTCATATAGAATGATTGGTGATGGCCTGGATATGGTTTTGGATGAATTGAGAAACCAAATGGAATAACAAAAGGAGAAAAACAGGTATAAAAGGTCTAAGAATTGGGATGACTCAGGATATCTGATTAGAGAGTGCCTAAGGAGATTCAGCATAGTCCTGCCAGCAAAGATTATTTATTTACTTCAAGAGTTAAGAGTGGCAGTTTGTGGATAGCACCTGGAGATATCAGCTGTGATGGCTTAGAAAAACAATGTAAACAAGAGCAGGGCAGTGTAAACAAGAGCAGGGCATGTATGAGTAGTTGAGAACGGTGAATAGGAGTATGACTAGACAGAAGATAGCAGGGATGACAAGTTTTTTTGGGGCACAGTCTAAGTTGGTCTGGTGTCTGGAATAAGACTGGGGCCTAATAAAAAGGAGCATCTATACAGGAGCTTAAATGGGCTGTACCCTGTAGCATTCTGAGGACAGGCCTGAATTCTGAGAAGGGAAAGTGGTAAAAGTATTGTCCAGTCCTTTTTAAGTTGGTGGCTGAGCTTGGAGAGGTGTGTTTTTAAAAGACCTTTAGTCCATTCTACTTTTCTTGAAGACGGAGGACTGTAAGGGATATAAAGGTTTCACTGAATACTAAGAGCCTGAAAAACTGCTTGGCTGATTTGACTAATAAAGGCTCGTCTGTTATCAGACTGTATTGAGGTGGGAAGGCTAAACTGAGGAATTATGTCTGACAGAAGGGAAGAAATGACTGCGGTGGCCTTCTCGGACCCTGTAGGAAATGCCTCTACCTATCCAGTGAAAGTGTCTACCTGAACTAAGAGGTATTTTAGTTATCTGACTCAGGGCATGTTGAGTAAAGCTAAGTTGCCAGTCCTGGGTGGGGCAAATCCTCGAGCTTGATGTGTAGGGAAGGGAGGGGGCCTGAATAATCACTGAGGAGTAGTAGAAAAGCAGATGGAACACTGAGAAATTATTTCCTTGAGGATAGATTTCCACGATGGAAATGAAATGAGAGGTTCTAAGAGGTGGGCTAGTGGCTTGTACTATAGCATAACCTGCCTTTGCTGGTGTGTGGCGATTAGGCCTGGTGGAACCACCTTCAATAAATCAAGCGTGATCAGGGTGAGGAACAGGAAAGAAGGAAATTTGGGGAAATGGGGTGAATGTCAGGTGGATCAGAGAGATACAGTCATGGGGGTCAGGTGTGGTATCAGGAATAATGTGGGAGGCCGGATTGAAGTCTGGGCCAGGAACAATGGTAATTGTGGGAGACTCAACAAAGAGTGAGTACAGCTGAAGGAGCCAGGAAGCAGAAAGCATATGCGTCAGGTATGAGGAAGAAAATAGATTTTGGAAGTTACGAGAACTGTAGAGAGTGAGTTGAGCATAGTTTTTGATTTTGAGGGCTTCTAAAAGTATTAGGGCAGCAGCAGTGGCTGCATGGAGACATCATGGCCAGCCTAAAACAGTAAGGTCAAGTTGTTTGGACAAAAAGGCTACAGGATGCGATCCTGGTCCTTATGTAAGAATTCCAACTGCACAGCCCTGCACTTCAGCTGTGTGGAATGAAAAGGGTTGGGATGAGTCAGGGAGAGCTAGAGTGGGGCAGTTTCTAAAGCTGTCTTCAAGGAACGGAAAGAGGAGTGGGGAAAGGATTTAGGATCTATGGGGTCAGCTAGGTTTCCTTTTGTGAGCTTATATAATGGTTTTGTTAGGATGGCAAAACCAGGTATCCAAAGGTGAAAGTATCCAACCATGCCCAGGAAGGAAAGGAGTTGTTGTTTTGTAGAAGGGGTTGGGGTTTGAGAGATCAGTCGGACATGATTGGCAGGGAGAGCACGTGTGTTTTTATGAGAATTATGCCAAGATAGGTAACAGATGAGGAAGAAATTTGGGCTTGATTGAAGTAATGGGGGCTGTCTGTGAAGCTTTGCGGCAGTACAGCCTAGGTAATTTGCTGAGCTTGATGGGTGTCAGGGTCAGTCCAAGTGAAAGCGAAGAGAGGCTGGGATTAAGGATGCAAAGGAATAGTAAAGAAAGCATGTTTGAGATCTAGAACAGAATAATGGGTTGTAGAGGCAGGTACTGAGGATAGGAGAGTATATGGGTTTGGCACCATGGGGTGGATAGGCAAAACAATTTTGTTGATAAGGTGCAGATCCTGAACTAACTTGTAAGGCTTGTCTGGTTTTAGGACAGGTAAAATGGGGGAATTGTAAGGAGAGTTTATAGGTTCTAAAAGGCTATGTTGTAGCAGGCGAGTGATAACAGGCTTTAATCTTTTTAAAGCATGCTTCGGGGTGGAATATTGGCACTGAGTGGGGTAAGGGTGATTAGGTTTTAATGAGATGGTAAGGGGTGCATGATCGGTTGCCAAGGAGGGAGTAGTCGTATCTTATACTTGTGGGTTAAGGTGGGGGATACAAGAGGAGGATGCAAAGGAGGCTTTGGATTGGGAAGAAGGGAGGCAATGAGATATAGCTGTAGTCCAGGAATAGTCAGGGAAGCAGATAATTTAGTTAAAGTGTCTCAGCCTAATAAGGGAACTGGGCAGGTGGGGATAACTAAAAAGGAGTGCTTAAAAGAGTATTGTCTAAGTTGGCACCAGAGTTGGGGAGTTTTAAGAGGTTTAGAAGCCTGGCCGTCAATACCCACAACAGTTATGGAGGCAAAGGAAACAGGCCCTTGAAAAGAAGGTAATGTGTAGTGGGTAGCCTCCATATTGATTAAGAAGGGGACGGGCTTACCTTCCACTGTGAGAGTTACCCAAAGCTCGGCATCCATGATGGTCTAGGGGGCTTCTGAGGCGATCGGACACTGTCAGTCTTCAGCCGCTAAGCCGAGAAGATCTGGGAAGGAGTCAGTCAGAGAGCCTTGGGCCAGAGTTCCAGGGGCTCTGGGAGTGGCTGCCAGGTAAGTTGAACAGTCCGATTTTCAGTGGGGTCCCACACAGGTGGGACGCAGCTTAGGAGGAATCCCAGGCTGCGGGCATTCCTTGGCCCAGTGGCCAGATTTCCAGCACGTGTAGCAAGCTCCTGTGGGAGGAGGTTCTGGAGGAATGCCTGGCCGCTGCACTTCAGGTGTTTGGAAGTTCTTATGTGCTGGAGATGTGGCTGGGGTTTGTCTCGCAGTGGAGGCAAGGAATTGCAACTTTTTTCTATTATTGTACACCTTGAAGGCGAGGTTAATTAAATCCTCTTGTGGGGTTTCAGGGCCGGAATTTAATTTTTGGAGCTTTATTTAATGACGGGAGCAGATTGGGTAATAAAATGTATTTTGAGAATAAGACGGCCTTTTGACCTTTTAGGGTCTAGGGCTGTAAAGTGTCTCAGGATTGCTGCCAAACAAGTCATGAACTGTACTGGATTTTTTTTTTTTTATTTTATTATTATACTTTAAGTTTTAGGGTACATGTGCACAATGTGCAGGTTAGTTACATATGTATACATGTGCCATGCTGGTGCGCTGCACCCACTAACTCGTCATCTAGCATTAGGTATATCTCCCAATGCTATCTCTCCCCCCTCCCCTCACCCCACAACAGTCCCCAGAGTGTGATGTTCCCCTTCCTGTGTCCATGTGATCTCATTGTTCAATTCACACCTATGAGTGAGAATATGCGGAGTTTGGTTTTTTGTTCTTGCGATAGTTTACTGAGAATGATGATTTCCAATTTCATCCATGTCCCTACAAAGGACATGAACTCATCATTTTTTATGGCTGCATAGTATTCCATGGTGTATATGTGCCACATTTTCTTTTATTTATTTATTTATTTATTTATTTATTTATTTTTTTTTTTTTTAATTGATAATTCTTGGGTGTTTCTCACAGAGGGGGATTTGGCAGGGTCATGGGACAATAGTGGAGGGAAGGTCAGCAGATAAACAAGTGAACAAAGGTCTCTGGTTTTCCTAGGCAGAGGACCCTGCGGCCTTCCGCAGTGTTTGTGTCCCTGGTTACTTGAGATTAGGGATTGGTGATGACTCTTAACGAGCATGCTGCCTTCAAGCATCTGTTTAACAAAGCACATCTTGCACCGCCCTTAATCCATTTAACTCTGAGTGGACGCAGCACATGTTTCAGAGAGCACAGGGTTGGGGGTAAGGTCACAGATCAACAGGATCCCAAGGCAGAGGAATTTTTCTTAGTGCAGAACAAAATGAAAAGTCTCCCATGTCTACTTCCTTCCACACAGACACAGCAACCATCCGATCTCTCAATCTTTTCCCCACCTTTCCCGCCTTTCTATTCCACAAAGCCGCCATTGTCATCCTGGCCCGTTCTCAATGAGCTATTGGGCACACCTCCCAGACGGGGTGGTGGCCGGGCAGAGGGGCTCCTCACTTCCCAGTAGGGGCGGCCGGGCAGAGGCGCCCCTCACCTCCTGGACGGGGCGGCTGGCCGGGCAGGGGGGCTGACCCCCCCCACCTCCCTCCCGGACGGGGCGGCTGGCCGGGCGGGGGGCTGAACCCCCCACCTCCCTCCCGGACGGGGCGGCTGGCCGGGCAGAGGGGCTCCTCACTTCCCAGTAGGGGCGGCTGGGCAGAGGCGCCCCTCACCTCCCGGACGGGGCGGCTGGCCGGGCGGGGGGCTGACCCCCCCACCTCCCTCCCGGACGGGGCGGCTGGCCGGGCGGGGGGCTGACCCCCCCCACCTCCCTCCCGGACGGGGCGGCTGGCGGGCAGAGGGGCTCCTCACTTCCCAGTAGGGGCGGCCGGGCAGAGGCGCCCCTCACCTCCCGGACGGGGTGGCTGGCCGGGCAGGGGGGCTGACCCCCCCCACCTCCCTCCCGGACGGGGCGGCTGGCCGGGTGGGGCGCTGACCCCCCCACCTCCCTCCCGGACGGGGCGGCTGGCCGGGCGGGGGGCCGACCCCCCCACCTCCCTCCCGGACGGGGCGGCTGGCCGGGCAGAGGGGCTCCTCACTTCCCAGTAGGGGCGGCCGGGCAGAGGCGCCCCTCACCTCCCAGACAGGGCGGCTGGCGGGCGGAGGGCTGACCCCCCCACCTCCCTCCCGGACGGGGCGGCTGGCAGGCGGGGGGCTGACTCCCCCACCTCCCTCCCGGACGGGGTGGCTGGCTGGGTGGGGGGGCTGACCCCCCCATCTCCCTCCCGGACGGGGTGGCTGGCCGGGCTGAGGGGCTCCTCACTTCCCAGTAGGGGCGGCCAGGCAGAGGCGCCCCTCACCTCCTGGACGGGGCAGCTGGCCGGGCAGGGGGGCTGACCCCCCAACCTCCCTCCCGGACGGGGCGGCTGGCCGGGCGGGGGCCGACCCCCCACCTCCCTCCAGATGGGGCGGCTGGCCGGGCGGGGGGCCGACCCCCCCACCTCCCTCCCGGACGGGGTGGCTGGCCAGGCGGGGCTGACCCCCCCACCTCCCTCCCGGACGGGGCGGCTGGCCGGGTGGGGGGGCTGACCCCCCCATCTCCCTCCCGGACGGGGTGGCTGGCCAGGCTGAGGGGCTCCTCACTTCCCAGTAGGGGCGGCCGGGCAGAGGCGCCCCTCACCTCCCGGACGGGGCGGCTGGCCGGGCGGGGGGCTGACCCCCCCACCTCCCTCCCGGACGGGGCGGCTGGCCGGGCGGGGGGCCGACCCCCCACCTCCCTCCCGGATGGGGCGGCTGGCCGGGCGGGGGGCTGACCCCCCCCCCACCTCCCTCCCGGACGGGGTGGCTGCCGGGCGGAGACGCTCCTCACTTCCCAGATGGGGTGGCTGCCGGGCGGAGAGGCTCCTCACTTCTCAGACGGGGCAGCTGCCGGGCGGAGGGGCTCCTCACTTCTCAGACGGGGTGGTTGCCAGGCAGAGGGTCTCCTCACTTCTCAGACGGGGCAGCCGGGCAGAGACGCTCCTCACCTCCCACACGGGGTCTCGCCGGGCAGAGGCGCTCCTCACATCCCAGATGGGGCGGCGGGGCAGAGGCGCTCCCCACATCTCAGACGATGGGCGGCCGGGCAGAGACGCTCCTCACTTCCTAGATGTGATGGCGGCTGGGAAGAGGCGCTCCTCACTTCCTAGATGGGATGGCGGCTGGGCGGAGACGCTCCTCACTTTCCAGACTGGGCAGCCAGGCAGAGGGGCTCCTCACATCCCAGACGATGGGTGGCCAGGCAGAGACACTCCTCACTTCCCAGACGGGGTGGTGGCCGGGCAGAGGCTGCAATCTCGGCACTTTGGGAGGCCAAGGCAGGCGGCTGGGAGGTGTAGGTTGTAGTGAGCCGAGATCACGCCACTGCACTCCAGCCTGGGCACCATTGAGCACTGAGTGAACGAGACTCCGTCTGCAATCCCGGCACCTCGGGAGGCCGAGGTTGGCGGATCACTCGCGGTTAGGGGCTGGAGAACGGCCCGGCCAACACAGCGAAACCCCGTCTCCACCAAAACCAGTCAGGCGTGGCGGCGCATGCCTGCAATCGCAGGCATTCGGCAGACTGAGGCAGGAGAATCAGGCAGGGAGGTTGCAGTGAGCCGAGATGGCAGCAGTACAGTCCAGCTTCGGCTCCGCATGAGAGGGAGACCATGGGGAGACGGAGAGGGAGACGGAGAGGGAGACGGAGAGGGAGACGGAGAGGGAGACGGAGAGGGAGAGGGAGAGGGAGAGGGAGAGGGAGAGGGAGAGGGAGAGGGAGAGAATGAATACTCTTCCTTTATAAACACACAGTCGTGCCACATTTTCTTAATCCAGTCTATCATTGTTGGACATTTGGCAACCCAAATGTCCAAGTCTTTACTATTGTGAATAATGCCACAATAAACATACGTGTGCATGTGTCTTTATAGCAGCATGATTTATAGTCCTTTGGGTATATACCCAGTAATGGGATGGCTCGGTCAAATGGTATTTCTAGTTCTAGAGCCCTGAGGAATCGCCACACTGACTTCCACAATGGTTGAACTAGTTTACAGTCCCACCAACAGTGTAAAAGTGTTCCTATTTCTCCACATCCTCTCCAGCACCTGTTGTTTCCTGACTTTTTAATGAATGCCATTCTAACTGGTGTGAGATGGTATCTCATAGTGGTTTTGATTTGCATTTCTCTGATGGCCAGTGATGGTGAGCATTTTTTCATGTGTTTTTTGGCTGCATAAATGTCTTCTTTTGAGAAGTGTCTGTTCATGTCCTTTGCCCACTTTTTGATGGGGTTGTTTGTTTTTTTCTTGTAAATTTGTTTGAGTTCATTGTAGATTCTGGATATTAGCCCCTTGTCAGATGAGTAGGTTGTGAAAATTTTCTCCCATTTTGTAGGTTGCCTGTTCACTCTGATGGTAGTTTATTTTGCTGTGTAGAAGGTCTTTAGTTTAATTAGATCCCATTTGTCAATTTTGCCTTTTGTTGCCATTGCTTTTGGTGTTTTAGACATGAAGTCCTTGCCCATGCCTATGTCCTGAATGGTAATGCCTAGGTTTTCTTCTAGGGTTTTTATGGTTTTAGGTCTAACGTTTAAGTCTTTAATCCATCTTGAATTGATTTTTGTATAAGGTGTAAGGAAGGGATCCAGTTTCAGCTTTCTACGTATGGCTAGCCAATTTTCCCAGCACCATTTATTAAATAGGGAATCCTTTCCCCATTGCTTGTTTTTCTCAGGTTTGTCAAAGATCAGATGGTTGTAGATATGCGGCGTTATTTCTGAGGGCTCTGTTCTGTTCCATTGATCTATATCTCTGTTTTGGTACCAGTACCATGCTGTTTTGGTTACTGTAGCCTTGTAGTATAGTTTGAAGTCAGGTAGTGTGATGCCTCCAGCTTTGTTGTTTTGGCTTAGGACTGACTTGGTGATGTGGGCTCTTTTTTGGTTCCATATGAATTTTAAAGTAGTTTTTTCCAATTTTGTGAAGAAAGTCATTGGTAGCTTGATGGGGATGGCATTGAATCTGTAAATTACCTTGGGCAGTATGGCCATTTTCACGATATTGATTCTTCCTACCCATGAGCATGGAATGTTCTTCCATTTGTTTGTATCCTCTTTTATTTCATTGAGCAGTGGTTTGTAGTTCTCCTTGAAGAGGTCCTTCATATCCCTTGTAAGTTGGATTCCTAGGTATTTTATTCTCTTTGAAGCAATTGTGAATGGGAGTTCACTCATGATTTGGCTCTCTGTTTGTCTGTTGTTGGTGTATAAGAATGCTTGTGATTTTTGCACATTGATTTTGTATCCTGAGACTTTGCTGAAGTTGCTTATCAGCTTAAGGAGATTTTGGGCTGAGACAATGGGGTTTTCTAGATATACAATCATGTCATCTGCAAACAGGGACAATTTGACTTCCTCTTTTCCTAATTGAATACCCTTTATTTCCTTCTCCTGCCTGATTGCCCTGGCCAGAACTTCCAACACTATGTTGAATAGGAGTGGTGAGAGAGGGCATCCCTCTCTTGTGCCAGTTTTCAAAGGGAATGAATGTTTCCAGTTTTTGCCCATTCAGTATGATATTGGCTGTGGGTTTGTCATAGATAGCTCTTATTATTTTGAGATATGTCCCATCAATACCTAATTTATTGAGAGTTTTTAGCATGAAGGGTTGTTGAATTTTGTCAAAGGTCTTTTCTGCAGCTATTGAGATAATCATGTGGTTTTTGTCTTTGGTTCTGTTTATATGCTGGATTACGTTTATTGATTTGCGTATATTGAACCAGCCTTGCATCCCAGGGATGAAGTCCACTTGATCATGGTGGATAAGCTTTTCGATGTGCTGCTGGATTCGGTTTGCCAGTATTTTATTGAGGATTTTTGCATCCATGTTCATCAAGGATATTGGTCTAAAATTCTCTTTTTTGGTTGTGTCTCTGCCAGGCTTTGATATCAGGATGATGCTGGCCTCATAAAATGAGTTAGGGAGGATTCCCTCTTTTTCTATTGATTGGAATAGTTTCAGAAGGAATGGTACCAGTTCCTCCTTGTACCTCTGGTAGAATTCAGCTGTGAATCCATCTGGTCCTGGACTCTTTTTGGTTGGTAAGCTATTGATTATTGCCACAATTTCAGCTCCTGTTATTGGTCTATTCAGAGATTCAACTTCTTCCTGGTTTAGTCTTGGGAGAGTGTATGTGTTGAGGAATTTATCCATTTCTTCTAGATTTTCTAGTTTATTTGCATAGAGGTGTTTGTAGTATTCTCTTATGGTAGTTTGTATTTCTGTGGGATCGGTGGTGATATCCCCTTTATCATTTTTTATTGCATCTATTTGATTCTTCTCTTTTTTTCTCTTTATTAGTCTTGCTAGTGGTCTATCAATTTTGTTGATCCTTTCAAAAAACCAGCTCCTGGATTCATTAATTTTTTGAAGGGTTTTTTGTGTCTCTATTTCCTTCAGTTCAGCTCTGATTTTAGTTATTTCTTGCCTTCTGCTAGCTTTTGAATGTGTTTGCTCTTGCCTTTCTAGCTCTTTTAATTGTGATGTTAGGGTGTCAATTTTGGATCTTTCCTGCTTTCTCTTGTGGGCATTTGTTGCTATAAATTTACCTCTACACACTGCTTTGAATGCATCCCGGAGATTCTGGTATGTTGTGTCTTTGTTCTCATTGGTTTCAAAGAACATCTTTATTTCTGCCTTCATTTTGTTATGTACCCAGTAGTCATTCAGGAGCAGGTTGTTCAGTTTCCATGTAGTTGAGTGGTTTTGAGTGAGATTCTTAATCCTGAGTTCTAGTTTGATTGCACTGTGGTCTGAGAGATAGTTTATTATAATTTCTGTTCTTTTACATTTGCTGAGGAGAGCTTTACTTCCAAGTATGTGGTCAATTTTGGAATAGGTGTGGGGTGGTGCTGAAAAAAATGTATATTCTGTTGATTTGGGGTGGAGAGTTCTGTAGATGTCTATTAGGTCCACTTGGTGCAGAGCTGAGTTCAATTCCTGGGTGTCCTTGTTGACTTTCTGTCTCATTGATCTGTCTAATGTTGACAGTGGGGTGTTAAAGTCTCCCATTATTAATGTGTGGGAGTCTAAGTCTCTTTGTAGGTCACTGAGGACTTGCTTTATGAATCTGGGTGCTCCTGTATTGGGTGCATATATATTTAGGATAGTCAGCTCTTCTTGTTGAATTGATCCCTTTACCATTATGTAATGGCCTTCTTTGTCTCTTTTGATCTTTGTTGGTTTAAAGTCTGTTTTATCAGAGCCTAGGATTGCAACCCCTGCCTTTTTTTGTTTTCCATTTGCTTGGTAGATCTTCCTCCATCCTTTTATTTTGAGCCTATGTGTGTCTCTGCCCAGGAGTTGGGTTTCCTGAATACAGCACACTGATGGGTCTTGACTCATTATCCAATTTGCCAGTCTGTGCCTTTTAATTGGAGCATTTAGTCCATTTACATTTAAAGTTAACATTGTTATGTGTGAATTTGATCCTGTCATTATGATGTTAGCTGGTGATTTTGCTCATTAGTTCATGCAGTTTCTTCCTAGCCTTGATGGTCTTTACATTTTGGCATGATTTTGAAGCAGCTGGTATCGGTTTTTCCTTTCCATGTTTAGCACTTCCTTCAGGAGCTCTTTTAGGGCAGGCCTGGTGGTGACAAAATCTCTCAGCATTTGCTTGTCTGTAAAGTATTTTATTTCTCCTTCATTTATGAAGCTTAGTTTGGCTGGATATGAAATTCTGGGTTGCAAATTCTTTTCTTTAAGAATGTTGAATATTGTCCCCCACTCTCTTCTGGCTTGTAGAGTTTCTGCCGAGAGATCCACTCTTAGTCTGATGGGCTTCCCTTTGTGGGTAACCCGACCTTTCTCTCTGGCTGCCCTTAACATTTTTTCCTTCATTTCAACTTTGGTGAATCTGACAATTATGTGTCTTGGAGTTGCTCTTCTCAAGGAGTATCTTTGTGGCGTTCTCTGTATTTCCTGAATCTGAATGTTGGCCTGCCTTGCTAGATTTGGGAAGTTCTCCTGGATAATATCCTGCAGAGTGTTTTCCAACTTGGTTGCATTCTCCCCATCACTTTCAGATACACCAATCAGACGTAGATTTGGTTTTTTCACATAGTCATATATTTCTTGGAGGCTTTGCTCGTTTCTTTTTATTCTTTTTTCTCTAAACTTCCCTTCTTACTTCATTTCATTCACTTCATCTTCCATCGCTGATACCCTTTCTTCCAGTTGATTGCATCGGCTCCTGAGGCTTCTGCATTCTTCAGGTAGTTCTCGAGGCTTGGTTTTCAGCTCCATCAGCTCCTTTAAGCACTTCTCTGTATTGGTTATTCTAGTTATACATTCTTCTAAACTTTTTTCAAAGTTTTCAACTTCTTTGCCTTTGATTTGAATTTCCTCCCATAGCTCAGAGTAATTTGATCGTCTGAAGCCTTCTTCTCTCAGCTCGTCAAAGTCATTCTCTGTCCAGCTTTGTTCCATTGCTGGTGAGGAACTGCGTTCCTTTGGAGGAGGAGAGGCGCTCTGCTTTTTAGAGTTTCCAGTTTTTCTGCTCTGTTTTTTCCCCATCTTTGTGGTTTTATCTACTTTTGGTCTTCGATGATGGTGATGTACAGATGGGTTTTTGGTGTGGATGTCCTTTCTGTTTGTTAGTTTTCCTTCTAACAGACAGGACCCTCAGCTGCGTCTGTTGGAGTACCCGGCCATGTGAGGTGTCAGTCTGCCCCTGCTGGGGGGTGCCTCCCAGTTAAGCTGCTTGGGGGTCAGGGGTCAGGGACCCACTTGAGGAGGCAGTCTGCCCGTTCTCAGATCTCCAGCTGCATGCTGGGAGAACCACTGCTCTCTTCAAAGCTGTCAGACTGGGACATTTAAGTCTGCAGAGGTTACTGCTGTCTTTTTGTTTGTCTGCGCCCTGCCACCAGAGGTGGAGCCTACAGAAGCAGGCAGGCCTCCTTGAGCTGTGGTGAGCTCCACCCAGTTCAAGCTTGTGGGCTGCTTTGTTTACCTAAGCAAGCCTGGGCAATGGTGGGCACCCCTCCCCCAGTCTCGCTGCCGCCTTGCAGTTTGATCTCAGACTGCTGTGCTAGCAATCAGTGAGACTCCGTGGGCGTAGGACCCTCCGAGCCAGGTGCAGGATATAATCTCCTGGTGCGCCATTTTTTAAGCCCGTGGGAAAAGCGCAGTATTCGGGTGGAAGTGACCCGATTTTCCAGGTGCCGTCTGTCACCCCTTTCTTTGACTAGGAAAGGGAACTCCCCGACCCCTTGTGCTTCCCGAGTGAGGCAATGCCTCGCCCTGCTTCGGCTCGCGCATGGTGCGTGCACCCACTGACTTGCACCCACTGTCTGGCACTCCCTAGTGAGATGAACCCGGTACCTCAGTTGGAAATGCAGAAATCACCCATCTTCTGCATTGCTCACGCTGGGAGCTGTAGACCAGAGCTGTTCCTATTCAGCCATCTTGGCTCCTCTAAAATCTGGATTTTTATATTTGATGAGAAAGAGCCTAAATGCTATCTGATTTGGGATAAAGAAAAAGGAGCATTAACCTTGACTATGCATTTAGCTCCAGCCACCTTTTTAAGAGTAAATTGCTGGGCAGGACAGGGAGGGCTAGTCATGGAAGGAAACCTTAAGCCGGACCAGGTGTGAGGAGGGGAGGTGATAAAAAGATTATAGGGTGGAGGAGCAGAGGCTGAGGAAGAATTGGGACCTAGCTTGGCCTGGCGAGGAGCAGCCTGGGGAGGAAGGGAGAGGGTCAGATGGGTCTGTAGAAAAGGAATATTAGAAAGACTCAGTGATGCTTGGGGTTGGTACTGAGAGGACAGGCAGGAGGGAAAGAAGGAAGATTTGGGACGAGTTGCACTGGGCACAGAGACTAGGAAGGGACTGATGTGTAAAAGAATGCCTGGACATCAGGCACCTCAGACCGTTTGCCTATTTTACGACAAGAATTATTTAGATCTTGCGGGATGGAAAAATTCAAAGTGCCGTTTTCTGGCTATTTGTAACTACTGTCGAGTTTGTATTGGGGTCAAGCGGCATTGCAGAAGAAAATAAGGCATTTAGGTTTTAGGCCAGGTGTGAGTTGAAGAGGTTTTAAGTTTTTGAGAACACAGGCCAAGGGAGTAGAAGGAGGAATGGAGGGTGGAAGGTTGCCCATAGTGAAGGAAGCAAGCCTAGAGAAAAGAGAGAGTAGAGAAACAGAGGGAAGGGGTTCGGGGGTTCTTACCTTCCAGAAAAGTGGGAAAAGGGGTTGGGGTGCAGACATAAGAGGTCAGGGCATGGAAATAAGGGATGGGGTGCGGAAATAAGGGATTGGGGCGCAGAGATATAAGAGGTTGGGGCGCAGAAATAAGGGATTGGGGCACAGAGATAAGAGGTTCGGGCGTGGAAATAAGGGATTGGGGGTTCTTGCCCCATAGAAAAGCAGGACTTGCCGCTAGGGGTGAAGGAGAAGGGGTTGAGGGGTACTTGCCCCTCCCTCAGAAAAGCAGAGAAGGGGTAGAGACAAGGAGAGAAGGGGTTGGGGTACTTGCCCCTTCCCCAGAAAAGCGAGACTTGCCGCTAAGAGTGAAGGACCAAAGCAGGCATCCCTCTGTGGTCTGACACCTTTGAAACGTGGGTGAATAATCAGAGAGGTGTCCCTGCAATGATTAAACACCAAGGGAAGGCTGCCTTCCCAGTCCGTGACCAGCGCCGGAGTTTTGGGTCCACGGATAAAACGTGTCTCCTTTGTCTCTACCAGAAAATGAAAGGAATTGAAATTAAGAGAAGGGAGAGATTGAAGTGTGGCACCAAGATTGAAAGGAGAAAGAGGTTGAGGGATAGTGAGGGAGGTTGGAGAAGAGAGTAAAAAGAGGCCGCTTACCAGATTTGAAATTGGTGAGATGTTTCTTGGGCTGGTCAGTCTGAGTACCTGAGGTTGTAAGTGGATCTTTCTCATGGAGCAAAGAACAGGAGGACAAGGGATTGATCTCCCAAGGGAGGTCCCCTGATCCGAGTCACGGCACCAAATTTCATGCGCGTCCGTGTGAAGAGACCACCAAACAGGCTTTGTGTGAGCAATAAAGCTGTTTATTTCACCTGGGTGCAGGTGGGCTGAGTCTGAAAAGAGAGTCAGTGAAGGGAGATAAGGGTGGGGCCATTTTATAGGATTTGGGTAGGTAAAGGAAAATTACAGTCAAAGGGGGTTTGTTCTCTGGCGGGCAGGAGTGGGGGGTCACAAGGTGCTCAGTGGGGGTGCTTTTTGAGCCAGGATGAGCTAGGAAAAGGACTTTTACAAGGTAATGTCATCACTTAAGGCAAGGACTGGCCATTTACACTTCTTTTGTGTTGGAATGTCATCAGTTAAGGTGGGGCAGGGCATATTCACTTCTTTTGTGATTCTTCAGTTACTTCAGGCCATCTGGGCTTATACGTGCAGGTCACAGGGGATGCAATGGCTTGGCTTGGCCTCAGAGGCCTGACAGTCACTGTGGAAAACAGTTTAGCCATTCCTCAAAAAGTTAAACATGAAGTTACCATTTGACCCAGAAGTACCTCTCAGTATATAACCAAGAGAAATTAAAACGTGTCCACACAAAAACTTGGACACAAATGTTCATAGCAGTATTATTTATAATAGATAACGTATGGAAAAAACCTAAGTGTCTACCAGTAGATGAATGGATAAACAAAAGGTGGTATATCCATACA